>NC_000010.11:3040303-3191818 GCF_000001405.40 Homo sapiens
ATTGGAGAAAGGATGGACACATTGATCAATGGTAGACAGTACAAAAATAGACTCACACTTAAAACAGTCAATTTTTAACACAGATGCAAAGGCATTTGATAGAATAAGGATAGTCATTTCAACAAATGGTTCTAGAACATGGCAGCATGTGCATTGCATATAGAAAGAAAGAAAAAGAAAGAAAGAAAGAAAAGAAAGAAAGAAAGAAAAAGAAAGAAAGAAAGAAAGAAAGAAAGAAAGAAAGAAAGAAAAGAAAGAAAGAAAAGAAAGGAAGGAAGGAAGAAAGAAAGGAAGGAAGGAAGGAAGGAAGAAAGAAAGAAAGAAAGAAAGAAAGAAAGAAAGAAAGAAAGAAAGAAAGAAAGAAAGAAAGAAAGAAAGAAAGGAAGCAAGCTGGGCGTGGTGGCTCATGCCTGTAATCCCAGCACTTTGGGAGGCCGAGGCGGGTGGATCACGAGGTCAGGAGATCGAGACCATCCTGGCTAACATGGTGAAACCCTGTCTCTACTAAAAATACAAAAAATTAGCCGGGTGCGGTGGCGGGCTCCTGTAGTCCCACCTACTCCGGAGGCTGAGGCAGGAGAATGGCATGAACCCGGGAGGCGGAGGTTGCAGTGAGCAAAGATCGTGCCACTGCACAATCCAGCCTGGGCAACAAAGCGAGACTCCGTCAAAAAAAAAAAAAAGGAAGGAAGGAAGGGAAAAAAGAAAAGAAAAGAAAAGAAAGAAGAAAGGGAGGAAGGAAGAAAGGGAGGGAGGGAGGAAGGAAGGAAGGAAGATAGAAACTAACCCTTACCTCACACTATATACAAAAATTAACTATGGAATTGGGTTAGGCAAAAACTTCTTAAATATGATGCCCAAAACACCATCATAAATTTTTTATGTTAAATTAAATTTCATCAAATTTCAAAAGTGCTTTAAATCTTCAATCTAAAGACTGCGAGAAATTATTTGCAAAACATGCATCTGACAAAGGAATGTTGTCTACAGTTTACAAACTAGTCTTACTTTCAATCATAAGAAAACAAATATTCCAAGTAAAAAATGGGCCAATGATTTGGACAGACACTTCTCTAAAGATGACACACAGATGGCAATAAGCACATGGAAAGGTGCTGAATATCAGAGTAATTAGGGAGACACAATTGAAAGCCAGTGTGAGATACCACTACACACGCACACATCTCAAGAGGTGACCCTACCAATTGTTGGTGAGAATGTAAAACACCTGGAACTCTCAGATACTGCTGGTGGAAATGAAAAATGGTACAATGAGTTTGGAAAACAGTTTGACCATTTCTTTAAAAATTAAAAATATACCTTCCATATAACCCCATCATTTCCCTCCTAGGTATTTCTGTAAAAGAAATGACAGCACCTGGGCATAGTGGTGCATGCCTGTAATCCCAGTGCTTTGGGAGACCAAACCAAGAGGTCTGCTTGAGCCCAGGAGTTCGAGACCAGCCTGGGCAACAGAGGGAGATCCTGTCTCTATGAAAAAAAAAAATGAAAAAACAATTAGCCAGGCAAGGTGGCATGTGTCTGTAGTCCCAGTTACTAGGGAGGTGGAGGTAGGAGGACTACTTGAGCCTGGGAGGTCTGCTTGAGCCCAGGAGGTCAAGGCTGCAGTGAGCCATAATTGCACCACTGCATTCTAGCCTGAGCAACAGAGCAACATCCTGTCTCAAAAAAAAAAGAAAAAAAGAAAAAAAGAAAAATGATAGTCTATTTCTACACAAATATTTGCACACTAATATATTTTTTAATTTATTATTATACTTTAAGTTTTAGGGTACATGTGCACAATGTGCAGGTCAGTTACATATGTATACATGTGCCATGCTGGTGCACTGCACCCACTAACTCGTCATTTACATTAGGTATATCTCCTAATGCTATCCCTCCCCCCTCCCCCCACCCCACAATAGTCCCCAGAGTGTGATATTCCCCTTCCTGTGTCCATGTGTTCTCATTGTTCAATTCCCACCTATGAGTGAGAATATGTGGTGTTTGGTTTTTTGTTCTTGCGATAGTTTACTGAGAATGATGATTTCCAACTTCATCCATGTCCCTGCAAAGGACGTGAACTCATCATTTTTTATGGCTGCATAGTATTCCATGGTGTATATGTGCCACATTTTCTTAAACCAGTCTATCATTGTTGGACATTTGGGTTGGTTCCAAATCTTTGCTATTGTGAATAATGCCGCAATAAACATACGTGCACACTAATATTTATTGTAGCTTTATTTGTGACAACT
The DNA here is from genome assembly GCF_000001405.40 of Homo sapiens. NCBI lineage: Eukaryota > Metazoa > Chordata > Mammalia > Primates > Hominidae > Homo > Homo sapiens. The sequence goes on from NC_000010.11 coordinate 3,042,565, forward strand.
AACACCTAGAAACGACCTAGATATCCACCAGCAAGTCAATGGCTAGACCAATCAGGATGTATTGGTGCAATGGAGGAGGGCTCGGCAATGAAAGGGCAGCAGCTGCTGATGCGTCCTGTGTTGCTGAATCTCGAACACATCACACTGAGCAAGAACAGCTGGCAGCAGAACAGCAGGCACTGTATGATTCCATGTTGCACAATTCAAGAAGATGCAGACACATCTATAATGCCAGGAAGCAGCTCTTCCTGGCAAGGGGCTCGCGGAGAGCGAGTGACGGAGAACTCTGGGGTGATAGGAGCCTCGTTTTTCTGACTGTGGTCTAAGTCTCGCTGGTGTGGAGATAAGTCAGAACTCCTCACCGTGTAGGTTTTAAAGATGTGCAGTTTACTGTGCACCAGTTATGCCACAGTAAAGCTCTAAGCCAGGACGAAAAGAAGACTAAAACACTGGCAAGAAATCCAACACTTTTCGTCCTATTTTGGGCTCAAAAATATACGATAATCTTTTTAGATTTGAAGGTAGATTCAGGCTAAAATACTGAGCTCAGAGGTGGTTCCTCAAATGTCCATGTCCTAAAGGAGAGTGCATTCTTATAATAAGTTGGTTGTGAGTTATTTTAAATCCATATCACATATCAGAAAGTACATTGCATTGAAAGTGATCAAAAGCCACCTTATGTAATGGGGACCTGTAAACAGCTACAGGTTTGGAAGAGAAAATTTCTGAGAAAATATCCAAATCTATTCTTTTTGGGAATGATTCACTTTTACTCTTCGTGTACGTGTGTGTGTGACAAAGTCTCGCTCTTGTTCCCACGCTGGAGTGTGATGGCACAACCTCGCCTCACTGCAACCTCTGCCTCCTGGGTTCAAGCAATTCTCCTGCCTCAGCCTCCGGAATAGCTGGGATTACAGGCACACATCACCACGCCCAGCTAATTTTTGTATTTTTAGTAGAGACGGGGTTTCACCATGTTGTCCAAGCTGGTCTCGAACTCCTGACCTCAGGTGATCTGCCTGCCTCGGCCTTGCAAACAGCTGGGAGTACAGGCATGAGCCACTGTGCCCGGCTCTTTTAATCTTTTAATCAGGAAATCAGCAGGACCTTTGAGAGAAGCAACTTAGGGCTCTAGACTCCTTTACAGGTTTCATGGGGCTCTGGGGCCATCTTGTGGTGACGAGCAGGCGCATAGAGCACGAGAAAGAAGAGAAAGAAGGGGAGAAAGGCGTCACAGGCTGTCAGCGAGTACAGTTATGTAAAGATGAGGGTCTTTTAAAAAAGCTTAGGTTACTTAGTAATCGATAATACAGAAGCGATTAAAGTCTTTCTCAAATTTTACTACGCATAAGAATCACCCAACAAGTCCTGTTTAAATGAAGTGTGTGATTCAGCATTTCTTGGGGAGGCTTCATTCCTGCCTCTCTCATGCCCCATTCAGAATGCCCAGTGCAGATTGCAGGCCAGGCTCTGAGCAGCAGGCAGGGCTTAGAAGGTGAGGAAGAGAGACAGACACGAATTCCCAAGGGTTGAAGTTAGTATCTTGAGCTGAACCCCAAGCCTCCTAGCATTGTGTCCCATGCATGCACAGTCCCAGCCTTTTGGATTGGAGTGAGACACAGGACCCCGTGAGCATGAGGGCAGCTGAGGCTTCCACAGAAGCTGAGTGGGGTGGGGACTCCGGGCACTCCTCATTCTCATAGCAGGGAGCTTACCAGACGCTCCAAAAACTAAAGAAGTCCAAAGTCAACTAGGCCAGGATTTCTGTTTTTCTCAATATTAGAGTCTTGGTAACAGGTATATAAAACTCATTTATTTGAAATTGCTTTTCAACCCAGGCATGGTGGCTCATGTCTGTGATCCCAGCACTTTGGGAGGCTGAGGCAGGAGGATCATTTGAGCTCAGAAGTTCAAGACCAGCCTGGGCAACATAGTGAGACCTCGTCTCTACTAAAAATAAAAAACAATTAGCTAGGTATGGTGGCGCACACCTGCAGTCCCAGCTACTCAGGAGGCTGAGGAAGGAGGATCTCATGAACCCAGGAGATCAAGGATGCAGTGAGCTATAATTATGCCACTGCACTCCAGCCTGGGCAACAGAGTGAGATTCTGTCTCAAAACATTTTTTTTAAAGAATTTTTTCTATATATATATATATATATATATATATATATATATATATTTTTTTTTTTTTTTTTTTTGAGATGGAGTCTCACTGTATCACCCAGGCTACAGTGCAATGGTGTGATCTCAGCTCACTGCAACCTCCGACTCCCAAGTTCAAGCAATTCTTCTCCCTCAGCCTCCAAAGTAGCTGGGATTATAGGCACCCGCCATCATGCCTGGGTAATTTTTGTATTTTTAGTAGAGATGGGGTTTCGCCATGTTGGCCAGGCTGGTCTCAAACTCCTGACCTCAGGTGATCTGCCCACCTTGGCCTCCCAAACGGCTGGGATAACAAGTGTGAGCCACTGCCCCTGGCCTCTATAGGTATATATTTTCTAAATTCCAAATTTGTCTAGCTAGCTAGGGAATGCAGCAAAAGAAAGGTGTCTAGAGCCCCATTTGTTCCAATACAATAAACATGGAAAGGACACATAGTTCAGCTAACACTGATTGAAGATGTCCCATGTTTGAGGCAGGCTATAGGGGTGATGGGGTCCCTACTGAACATTGTGCAAAGAAACACAGCCGCCATCCTCAAAAAGGCTGGCATCGTGGTGGGGTAAAGTCTATTCAAAATGCCTCGTGGATGAATCTGGCACTTCCCTTACGAGCACAGTGCCACGTCCACGCTGCTGTTTGTCTTACAAATGGACCATTTGGGATCTGGTCCCAGTCTAAAGAAGTAACGAAGTAACAAGGAGGCGTCCTCCTCACAACAAAGAAAGGTGGGAGGGAGGGACGGGGAGAAAGAGCTAGAGAGACAGAGAGAAAACAGATGGATCATTTCCCCAATCAGTAAGAAACTTTCAAAATATTTTAATACCTTCTTTTAAATATGATTCACTCAAACTATTTTTTTAAAACCATGAATCACGCCAAGAAATGAATCTAATTTGACCCACACGCGGGCTGAAATCAGTTTCACAAAGAGGTTGTTACTCTTACTCAATGTGGTGCATTCAGGTATTTTTTGTTCTATTTCATTGCATTAAACAAAAAGAATGCTGGTCACTGCCTACCAAGAGGCTCATACAGCTCACTGACTAACTCAGGGGTACTTGTCATTCCTGGACACTTGGTCCCCAGCCCACCCGGCTCTCCTCTCTAGGAAGCAAGCTGCCTGAGGCTATTTTAAGTGCTCTCCTTTCTCCACCAAGAATTGGAATCTGCCCAGCTGAGCCCCAGACGCTGGAGGGGTCCCGGGGGTCAGTCAGCCCTGCACCACCCTCCAGCTCCTCTTCTGGCCATACAAGGAAGTCCAGTGTGGGGATGACTAAGCAGCTGACCCGGGGCGGGGGAGGGCAGCCCTGGAGCGGGAGGCAGGGCCGGCCTCTCCTGCCAGCCATCAGCCCCTGCGGGCTTGTCCTGTGGTGAAAAGTCCCAGGCCTCCACCCAGGCAGCACCTGACCTCTCTGCTCCCTGAGAGGAGTGAAGTGGACCTCAAGGTCTGGAGGTGGAGGCACAGCCTTGCACTGACATCAGGCCCTAAGCTCTAGTTCTACACAGAGATAGCCCATCTGTCCTGGCCTCCCGGGGGCTCCCAGGGGCAGGGAGATCTGGCCTGGCCTTCCCAGCAATGCGTGCCTCAGTGGAGAAACCCCAGCTTCCCAGCATTAGGACACACACTCTCTCTCACACCCTCCGTGGTTCCCACTGACCTCACTGCAAAGTCCACAGTAGAAACTCACAGAGACCTGCTGAAGAGGCACCTGCCCAGCTGTCAGCCTGTTCCTCCACCTGCTCCCCCAACCTGCCCTCTCACCTGCTGTCTACACTCATTCCCCCCACCTGCTCTCTCACCTTCCTCTTCCACCCGCTCCTCCCACCTGCTCTCTCACCTGCTGTCTACACCTGCTCCCCCCACCTGCTCTCTCACCTGTTGTCTACACCTGCTCCCCCCACCTGCTCTCTCACCTGCTGTCTACACCTGTTCTCTGCTCTGGCTGCCCCCACCCATCCATCTCCCCCACACCCTTCTTGGACACTGCCCGGTGCTGCCCAGCTCCCTCACACAACACTGCCCCTCCCCACTCATGTCCTGCTTCCTCGATGGTCTTCCCAGAGGAGGCCCCACGTTCTCAGCCCCTACCTGTTCCTCAGGTCACCATTTCCTGGAGCCACCTTCCATCCCCCAGAACTCAGCTGGGCCCTGCAGACATGTACATGCTACCAGGTGACCTGTGGCCACTCCTCCTGCAAAGCTTTTCCAGGTGTCTCTGTTTTTCTTGTTCCTCAGAACGATAAAAGTTCCCAGATCCCAGGGACTTTCAGGCTGCTCCCACCACAGAGCTGGCCAGCATCCTTTGAGGCAGAGAGATGCTAGGGGTAAGTCCATGAGGCGGGGCCTGTCTCCGGGGCTGGGAACCTGGAGTCACTGAACCGGGAGGCCAGCGTGTTGCCCAGGGCTTCGCCTTCCTGCTGTGGTTTGAAAGACAGGAATACTAATGAGGTTTCCTTAACCTCCTAAGTGAGTGTGTGTGTGTATGTGAATGTATGCACGTGCACACACTCACACTCACACACACACACACCAGCCCCTGTAAACAAGGCTGCAGGTTCCAGAGAAGATGGCTCCCTCAACCCACAGAGAATTAAGACAAATCCTCATGAAGCCACGAGCAGAAGTCGGGGGGAAATCATTAACTCTGAATGAGAATCTCAGGAATTCATAAACATGATCTGAAATTACCCATCTCCAGGGAAGGGTTCCAGAAGTCTATTTTGTAGGAAGAAACTTGAGGACCCACTGTTAATAAAATTAGAGTCATTCCTGGAATGTTGCCAGGATATAGCTTACAAGATAGAAAAACAAGCTATAATCATAGGAGTGTATTTTTAAAAAAAAATAGAATAACAGTCAGAAGATGGTCATATTCTAGAAGAGCTGCAGGAATAAGGGAATCATATGCTCCAAAACCCTTTAGAGAAGGTACGCTCGGGCTCCAGACAGTTGGCCTGGTTCTTTGGACAAAAGTGGTGAATTGGTCCTCTCTCTCTCTCTCTCTCTTTCTCCCTCTCTCTGTCCTTTCCTCCCTCCCTCTATCCATCCCTTTCTCTCTCTCTCCCTCTCTCTCTGTCTCTCCCTCCCTCCCTTTCTCCCTTTCTATCTCCCTCTACCTCTCTCTCTCTCTCTCCGTCTCCCACTCTCCCCCTCTCTCTCTGTCTCCCTGCCTGCTTCTCTCTCCCCTCCCCGCATCCCACACACATCATGGTAGAAACGCCGCTTGGTATCATCCCACATCCTCTGTGCCCATCCTCTTCTGCCAACCCACCCTCTGATCTGTATACGGGTCCCTGGTTTATTCTGTCCACCCGAAAAATCTCAGCCCTGCAGGTAGAAGATGCTGCTGTTCTATTTCCATGATGCCAAATGCCTAGAAATTAAGGGAAAAACCCATTCACCAAAAAAAAAAAAGGACCTTATGGAGAATCCTAGCATTTACTTCTGTTATGCTCCTTTTTTTTTTTTTCCTTTTTTTTTTAGGGTCTCAGTCCTGGGAAGCTCTGGGATGAACATGGCTCCTGAGCATAGACACCACCCTGACAGAGGCTCGTGCGTGTTCAGCTTCATCCTCGGAACTTTACACTCACTCTTGACTCACTCCACTTTCTGTGTCTTTTTTTTTTTTTTGGCCTGACTTTTAAAAAAACAATCTGAGAATAAAGTGTAAAAAGAAAGTTTCTGAATCCTTAACTGAGGTCAAAATCTTGGAGCGAAAGCCAAAGATGCAGTGGCCAAGAAGCCCGGGGAACGGGGGGCGCCCCCCAACCCAGAATCAGTCACCAGTGGGGAGAAAACCCCCGAACCCAGAATCAGTCAGCAGTGGAGAGAAAACCCCCGAACCCAGAACCAGTCAGCAGTGGAGAGAAAACCCCCGAACCCAGAACCAGTCAGCAGTGGAGAGAAAACCCCCGAACCCAGAACCAGTCAGCAGTGGGGAGAAAACAAGAGCTTCTATGTGCGGCTCCCTGACGAGCACTTGGAAAGCAAATGCGTTTCAGCCCAGAAGAAGGTCAAGTGAGGAAATGCCCTAAATGGGGCTTATTCCTTGCCCAGCCCTGAGACTGGGCTGGAGGCCCCAGGCAGGAGAGGGAGGGCCAGGCCGTTTCAGGCTGTCACCACAGAAAATGCTGATGGAGCAGGAGGCTGCAGAGTGAGTCGACCTTTCTGCCCTCTATGCAGAGGCCCAGCCCTTGTGGGCGGACCTCCTGACTCCCTCTTCTTACTTAGTCTGGCTACTGTTGGCATATTAAAGTTGGTGATCATTTTGAACATGAGTGCTAAACTGAATTTTGTTAATTCTAATAATTTATCAAAGCATTTTACTATTTCTAGGAAACAGAATTACATTGTCCTCAGAATAATTTTGTCTTTCTTGTTAATAATAATAGTCCTTCAGTCTCCCTGCCTTCCCTCTGGGTGTGAGCGCATCTCTGCCAATGTGGGGCATGAGAACGGATGCCAGAGGCAGACCAAGCAGTTCAGAGGCTATAGCAGCAATTTATTTTTATTTTTATTTATTCATATACATTTTTTTGAGATGGAGTCTTACTCTGTTGCCCAGGCTGGACTGCAATGGCATGATCTCGGCTCACTGCAACCTCTGCCTCCTTGGTTCAAGAGACTCTCCTGCCTCAGCCTCTGCAGTAGCTAGGATTACAGGTGCCCACCACTGTGCCCGGCTAATTTTTTGTACTTTTAGTAGAGACGGGGCTTCACCTTGTTGGCCAGGCTGGTCTTGAATCCCTGGCTTTGGGTGATCCACCCATTTTGGACTCCTAAAGTGCTGGGATTACAGGCGTGAGCCACTGTGCCCAGCCCATTGTGGCATCTTAATCACAGAGCAAAGAAGGCCTGGACCCAGCACGAAGATGATGAAAAGGGGGAAGAGCAGCTGTCTCACCTACGGTGTTGCCAGGAGCTTCCAACTTCGAACATAAGGGACACTAAGTAGCTTTCCCAATAAAACAACTGAGTTGTTGGATAAAACCTACAAAAATACATCTTTGTAAGTGCACGACTGGGCTGGCATTGAAGGATGGAATCCACAGCAGTCAATAAAGAATTGGCAGGAACCAAAGTGGAATTTTTTTTCTGTTTAGACAGTTGCACAGAGGACAGGGCATAAGAAAGAAAACCGGACGCCTCTCCAAAATGAGGTTGGAAATCTGACATCTTAGACTTAAAATAAAAGCCCACCTTAGAGCAGGAGCAGCAAGGAGAGCACCTGTCCCTGCATTGGTGATGGGTGGAGGGAAAACCACTGACCCTGAGAACCAGTGAGAAACAGTCCTCCAGGAGTTCATGCTGGAAGACATCAAGAGCATGGGTCAAATTGACGTGGCACCAGGTGGCTGCTAGCTTCACCTCTACCCCATGTGAGCAGAAAATCCTTGCTGAAACAATGCAACTCTGTCCTCAAAATATCTCCCCACATAAAATTCCAAGGAAGATAAGTCCAGGTGCAAAAAGTTACAAAACATAAGTAAACAAAGTACTGTGGATACATCCAATAATTCAAGAAACAAATTCAGCAGAGCCACAAAAATCCAAAAGGTGGAAAAGATCAACTGCTGGCAAAGTATCCACTGCTGTTGCAGCTGTGAAGAGACTGTATTTCATAAAAAGCTCTGTGGCCTCACATTTGCCTTCTCAGGCATGTCCCCCCAGAAATGCCCTTGCACTGTCTTGTCCAAGAGACACATATGGGGCAAGAATATTTAGGCAGTGATTGTAGAAATAGAAAACACCTGAAGGCCATCCAAATACACCTCTATCAAGGAAAAAAGTTGGCATACTCACATTGTGCAATATTATACAACAGTGAAAATGAACTGCAGTTAAAAGCATCAACAATGAAAAATTACAGTGAACAAAGGAAATTACTGAAAAATACACTGCTATTCCATATACAGTACACAAACCATATGACTTTGCTTAATAATATACACAGAAATGATAAACCTTATGAAAAGCAAGACAAATATTAACACATGAGTCCTATGTATGGGTGAAGAAGGGAGACCCAGGTGATCAAGGAAGGGCATATTGTAGCCTTTCAAGACACTCGATGCTAAAGGATGATGACAACAGTGCAATTATTACTCTATAGGATTATGCATTCAGTTTTGTTCGTTTCTTTGTTTGTTTTTGAGGTGGAGTTTCGCTCATGTAGCCCAGGCTAGAGTGCAATGGCGCGATCTCAGCTCACTGCAACTTCCGCCTCCCAGGTTCAAACGACTCTCCCGCCTCAGCCTCCCGAGTAGCTGGGATCACAGGCGCCTGCCATGATGCTCGCTAACTTTTTGTATTTTTTTTAATAGAGACGGGTTTCACCATGTTGGTCAGGCTGGTCTTGAACTCCTGACCTCAGGTGATCCACCCACCTCAGCATCCCAAAGTGCTGGGATTACAGGCATGAGCCACCATGACTAGCCAAGTTTTATAGACTCTTATGTGTCATATATTTCATAATTAAACATAAAAAAAGCATTTACTGTAGTTTGTAAATGAAAGAGCAATAAAAAATGTTGCAAACTTTTAAACATAAAACCTGTCGTATAGCTCATAGTGACCCTCATATTAAGCTGTGGTAAATTCCAAGTGTATTTCATTGTAATTATCTAAAAACTAGGTGAACAGATGAAAAATTGAGTTCAGTTTTAAAACAAGATCGTAGGCCGGGTGCGGTGGCTCACACCTGTAATCCCAGCATTCTGGGAGGCCGAGGCTGAAGGATCACGAGGTCAGGAGATCAAGACCATCCTGGCTAATACAGTGAAACCCCATCTCTGCTAAAAATACAAAAAAATATTAGCCGGGCATGGTGGCAGGTGCCTGTAGTCCCAGCTACTCGGGAGGCTGAGGCAGGAGAATGGCGTGAACCCAGGAGGCGGAGCTTCCAGTGAGCCGAGATCGTACCACTGCACTCCAGCCGGGGTGACAGAGCAAGACTCCGTCTCAAAAATAAAAAATAAAAATAAAAAAATAAAATAAAAAAATAAAACAAGATAGTAAGATAATGTTACTGGTTGAAGGTGTCCAGGTTCTTGGCACCTTGAACAAAGAATTGGACACAACGCACAAATGGAGCAAGGAAAAAATGAAGCAACAGAAGCAGATATTTATGGAAAATGAAAGCACACTCCACAGGGTGGGAGGGCCCGAGCATGGAGAGACCGTTACTGAAGTTTCTGGGGTTTAAATACCCTCTAGAGGTTTCCATTGGTTACTTGGTGTACACTCTATGTAAATAAAGAGGATGAAGTAAAATTACAAAATCATGTACTCGGTGTACGCCCTGTGTAAATGGAGAGGATATTTCCTGTCATAGCCCAAGAGTTTCCATTTGATTTAGTTCTCCGAAGTCAGGGTGAATCGGCCTTATGTTCCTGCCTCCAGACCCTTTTCTCCTGCCTCCGTGGAATGGATGGCAGGACATGGAAAAGTGTTTTGTCCAAATGACATGTCCAAGGGCACTGGCAGCTGAAGGCAAGAGGGAACCAGTTAGTGCCACGGAGGAATGCCCACCCCCGTCTCCACACCGCACAGAACAAAGTGAGTGTCCTTGTCCTGAACCCTCTGAGGTGAGTATCTTGCCTCAGTGCTTTCATGAAACCCTTTTTTGGAGAGACTCATTCTCTCCCCTTCTGTACCTACAAGGCAGCAGGGATAGCCCCTCTCAGGCTGAAGTTCTTCTAACAAAAAAGAGAATAAAATAATAGAATTAATGTAACGAATAGTAAAATAATGAAAATGAAACTTTTTTTTTTACAGAAGCAGCTCTGGAATTTCATTTATTGGCATTAAAAGCAGAAAATGGTCCTATAGAGCTCAATTTAATGGCAAAGATTAAGGAAAGAATAAAGACTCTGCCTAATAATGGTGACATGAGCTGTTCATATTGTCATTTTCTCTGGGACCTAATATGGGGGAGGAGGCGGGACCCCGTGTCGCCAGGCCCCAGGTGATTTTCACACTGTTTCCCCAAATCACTGCAGCCTCTTCCCTGCTGGTCCCTTGATGCTGCTGCTGTGCCTGGCGTCCTGTGGGACAAGAGTGCAACAGGGCGCTGGGCACCTTGGCAGCTTCCAGTGGGATAGGCCTGCGGCATTCTGAGCCTGAATGCGGTGATCACCAGGAAGTAAGGAGACACAAGCAGGAGGGGTTCCAGGATGGAGGGGCCACTTCTCAGGGATCAGTCTCAGGCCCCAGTTGGGAAGGATCCCCTTTCAGGACAATGGCTCCAGGCCAAGGGCAACGCTGTTTCTGTGCGTCCTGATGACTGACCTGCGTCCACAGGGAAGCGTATCTGGGCTCCTTTTTTCCAGGCTGTGTTGGGAGCACCTTGAAATGGGCACTGGTGGATTTCAATTCCAGCCTTCCGGAAGCCATTCCAAATGGAAACTGAGCTAAGGGATGTAGGTGGAGTAAGTAAACAATTTTAGGTCCCAAACAACAGTTTTCAGATACAATATAGTGTGCGGGGAAAATAAAGCTTTGGGACCCCAATTCACAGCCAAAAAGGAAAAAAAAATTAAGCTGGAAGCTGAATCATGCAAGAAACTGCCTTTCCTTTTGTTCCTAAGCAGATAGCTACAGATAAAGGGTTACATATCTCCACAGGAAGCTGGTCTATGTTCACCTTATCTTACGTACAGGGCTGATTTACCACATGTGAGATGAAGACATAGCTGACCATCCCCATCTGCTCTGTTTCTCTTGCAACCTAAGGATGACCACAGGTTCCCTCTTTCCCCTCCAGCCCACCCTTCCCCTCCAGCCCACCCTTCCCCTCCAGTCCACCTTTTCCCTCCAGCCCACCCTTCCCCTCCAGCCCACCCTTCCCCTCCAGCCCACCCTTCCCCTCCAGCCCACCCTTCCCCTCCAGCCCACCCTTCCCCTCCAGTCCACCTTTTCCCTCCAGCCCACCCTTCCCCTCCAGCCCACCCTTCCCCTCCAGCCCACCCTTCCCCTCCAGCCCACCCTTCCCCTCCAGTCCACCTTTTCCCTCCAGCCCACCCTTCCCCTCCAGTCCACCTTTTCCCTCCAGCCCACCCTTCCCCTCCAGCCCACCGGTCCCCTTTAAATACTGAAGCCCTCAAAATCATACTGGGAGGAAGGCACAGACCACAGACTGTTTCTGTGATTCCATGTTTTTTCCTTCCGAGCATGTCCTTAACCTTGGCAGAATTAACTTTTAAATGGATTGAGATTGGTCTCAGGTACCTTTTGGTTTACAATCGCATGCCTCAGCCAGCGCACTGCTCTGTGGCCTTTGTCCTCTTTTACCAAACGAGGAGGGTGGATTCCACAATCCTAAAACCCCTTCAGCTCTCCATAGGTTTCTGGGAGGACACAGTTACCTAAGAGATTAGAGACAGCATCACAAAAATATAAGCAGATGATGTGTGTCAGTTAGGGTTAAGTTTGGCTGCATAAAATGGAAGACTCAAGCTAACAGAGGCTTACACATAGAAAGGTCTGTCCTTTCACATGAAAGGAATCTGAAGGGAGGCAATCCTCCCCTGTGCACTGGATCTGTGATCTTATCAGAGAGCCCAGCTTCTCCTGTCATTCCCTCAGGCACTTTGACTGAAGGTGGTTGTATCTTCTAGATCACCTCATGCCCCAAGATAGCAGCTTTGTTCCTGCAATCACAGCTGCATTCAAAGCAGCAGGAAAAAGAAAAAAAAAAAAAAGCCATACTCAGTAGTTGAACTCCTTTTAAGGAGTCCTTTTGAAAGTCGTGCTCAACAATTCTACTTAAATCACATGGGCCAGAATGGACCCACATGACCACATGCGTGCACAAAGACAGCTGGGGAATGAAGCATTTAGCGCAGAGCCTCAGTCAGAAGAGGAGGAGGAAATGGATGTTGAACCAACTGTTTCTGTCACATGGTGTTTTAGTTGAGCTTGGAAGGATGAGTGGGTTATTCACAGACGTGCTTGGAGAGAGACACAAGCAAGGATCGTTGTGGAAGAAGCATGCCGGGAATTTTCAGGATACAAAGAGTCCCCCCACCACTGCAGAGTCTTCTAGCTAAAAACTCAAGGGCTTCTGAATTATTTCCATACTGTTTCTTTCTAAATTTAGAAGATTTACAATTCAATTATGTATAATGCTAAGACCTTGTCTTCTTGGAGATAATTCAAAAACAAGTCTGTTTTTGTTTGGAAAGAGAAACCTAAGACCCACATGGAGGGGGAGGAAGTTTCTAGCTTCCTGGAACACAATGCTGGAAGGAATTCAGGTGAAATATTCCATGGCCTTCTGACTGCTCTCTGGTGCCTGTTGTGAAGTCTAAAAGCTGTGATGCTCCCAGGGAATGGCTATGTTCTGAAAGCTTTTCCAGGAAAGTATCTTGAGTTGGGCTACATCCTTAGCTCCCTGGTTCTCAGAAAGAGCCTTCTCGAAGTCCAGAGGGCACTTAGATAAGACAGACTACATGGCACTTGAGGTTTCCTCCGTGATTTTCTTCCAGACATCTCTGAGGCATCAGAAGCAAGGGTCAACAACTCAGTGTAATAGAAACTTTTAAATGGATCAAATATTAGGATAGAAGGAGAAACCTTCAAAATTATGCCTATTATTTAGCACTTCATCTGCCACAAAGCAAAACAAAGTATAAACTTCTCACTGCAACTGTGAGAGAAGAGGATACTAAAACATTTTGTCTTAGCCTGTTTTCTGCTTCCCTTAACAGAGTACCTGAGACTGGGTAATTTACAAAAACAGAGATTCACTTCTCACAGTCCTGGAGGTGGGAAGTACAAGGTTAAAGGGTGATCTGGCAAGGACCTTTGTGCTGTGTCATCCCACGGGAAGGTGGGAGGGCAAGAGAGCATGAGGGAGTAAGAGGGGTCAAACTCACTTTTGTAACAGACCCACTCTTGTGATAATGAACCCACTCCCCCAATAACAACATTAATCCGGCCGGGCGTGGTGGCTCACGCCTGTAATCCCAGCACTTTGGAAGGCCGAGGTGGGCAGATCACGAGGTCAGGAGATCAAGACCATCCTGGCTAACACGGTGAAACCCCGCCTCTACTAAAAATACAAAAAAATTAGCCGGGCGTGGTGGTGAGCACTTGTAGTCCCAGCTCCTCTAGAAGCTGAGGCAGGAGAATGGTGTGAACCCAGAAGGCGGAGTTTGCAGTGAGCTGAGATTGCACCACTACACTCCAGCCTGGGCAACAGAGCGAGACTCCATCTCAAAAAAAAAAAGCAAACAAACAAACAAAAAACATTAATCCACTCATGAGGGTGAAACCCTCATGACCTGATCACCTCTTAAATATCCGTCCCCTCAGCACTACTGCATGAGGGGTTCAGTTTCCAACACGTGAAATTTGGGGGACACTTTCAAACCATAGTAAGTAGGAAATGGCAAAAATAAATTACTTATACAGTGTTTATCACTAGTAATAAAGTATGCACAAAACATCATTTATAGTCTATATTCACTATAATATGTTGTGCTCTATTTTCATGTTAATTCATGCAAAAAAAACAAAGAGAAAGATGTTCGAGAGAGGTATTAAGAAACAGCACCATAACCTTTAGAAAAACTAGAAACTGGTAGAAGTCAGTGTTTTAAAAACCTTTTTTATTTGCTGCTTGTTTGGAAGTCAGTGGTGACATTTCAAGGAGGAGTTGTCATTGGGAGGGCAGATTTCAGGAGGCTTTAGTAAGAGTGCGTGGGGAAGACAGGGAAGGAAGGAGGACAGGTGACTTAGAAAGATTCCTGGTGGTGATTGGAAGTGCAGAAATAGAATGGTGACCTCAGGGAGAAGCAATTCAAGGAACGTTGTGCTTTTGCTTCTCTCTGCCTTTCTCCCCATCTCTCTTTCCATCTCTCTCTGCCTCTCACTTTGCCTGTCTCTGTTTCTCCCTCTCTCTCTCTCTCCTGGTTGCTCTGTCTCTCTCTGTCTCTTTTTAAGACTCTGTGTTTGTCTCTGTTTCTCTCTTCCCCTCATCTCTTACTCCATCTTTCTATGTCTGTCTGTGTCTCTGCTTCTCTGACCCTCTCTCTCTCTCTCACTCTCCCTCTTTGTGTGTGTGTGTGTGTGTGTGTGTGTCTCACTCTGTTGGTTTCTCACTCCCACTCTCCATCTCGCAGCTCTCTGGTTTCACTATGCAAGCTGACTCTCCCCACCTGATGATCCAGTGGGATTAGCAGGAAGCGGGTGGACCACCCCCACCACCCACATCCTGTGCCCATCCATGAACTGGGGCACAGGAGAGGACTGATCTCCCTACTTGGCCTGGCTGGACACGCTGACCCTCAGGTCCACAGGCAGTGGAAGGAGCAGTTCCTGGAAGGTGAGAGTGGGTCCTGTGGCAGATGGAAGAGACAAGTATGTTGAGCAACAAAAATGATCAGCACTTGGTCTATGGTAGCAGGAGCTCAGAGGTGAGGAATCTTAGGGCCTTAAACGAGCGGCCCACTGTGGCAAAAACTTTTTTAAACAAAAAAATAGTCAGCCCCTAAGGAGTGTTCCAATGACCACCTCTTAAGCAATACAATTGATCCTTGAACAATGCAGAGATTAGGGGCACCAACCCGCCACACAGTCGAAATTCAGCCAATAACTTTTGACTACCCAAAAACGGATTGACCGTTACCCAAGAATAGCCTATTCTTGGGTAAAAGCCTCAGTGATCACGCAGATAATTGGTTAACACAAATTTTGTATGTTATATGTATTGTATAGTGTATTCTTACAGTAAAGTAAGCTAGAGGAAATAAAGCAATCCTAAGGAAAATGTGTTGACTATTCATTAAGTGCCTCATCATAGAGGTTCTTCTCCTCACCTTTGCATTGAGTAGGCAGAGGAGGAGGATGTGGAAGGAAAGGAGGAGGGGTTGGTCTTGCTGTCTAAGGGGTGGCAGAAGTGAAAAAAATCCATGTGTAAGTAAGTGACCCATGCGGTTCAAACCCTGCTGTTCAAGGGTCAACTGTTTGAACAGGGAAGTTTTGAAGTGACCTCTTTTCTTTTCTTTTTTTTTTTTCCTTGAGACAGGGTCTCACTCTGTTGCCCAGGCTGGAGTGCAGTGGCTCGATCTTGGCTCACTGAAATGGAAGTGACCTCTTTTCAAACAGGGCATGGCCGGGAAAGGGGGAGGAAAATGGCAAAGTCTACCCCACAAACTCAGGACCAAGATCCCTAATTTCTTCCCCTGGTGAGCGAGGCTCCCATTCCCTGGACTACAAAGTCTATTTGGGTTCAAAGACCACCTAGGCTCTGGGCTTGGCCTTCCAAGAGAAGAGGGTACCTGGGCCCTCCCAAGAATGCAGAGCTGTCTGCCCCGGACGTGTGACCGCAGCTCTGATCCTGTACCTGGTCTGAGCTTCACTGCACCAGTCACTCCTCCTCCTGCAGGTGGACCCAGCCGCAGGCTCTAAACCAGGCAACACGTGGTTGTGGGTGGATGTGCTTGCAGGCAGAGGAAGAGGTCGCAGCTTACATAAGAATCTCAAAGTTGACACCCAAAGAAGATAAAAGCGCCTGCCGGATGCTGGCATATACAACTAATGAGGATAATGCTCTGGGTGTACATCCTGGCACACTGGAAGAGCATTCTTGTTCATGGTGGTAGTTTCAAATATTTCAGTGAGTTTTCCCTTGAATGCCTCAGCCGGGAGCCATTTCAGTTCCGCTCAGGCAGCAAGGGAGCTTCAAGGACTCGTAGTTAGGAATTCAAGCTTGTACACAGCGACAGGTCACAGGTCCGTGGAAGATACCTGTCAACCAATATTCAGATTTAGCATTCCATAACTGAGGCATAGGGCATCTCTGACCTCATCTGACATGGCTAAAATCATGATTGTTTTTCTAACTGGGAAATTTATGTAACTTATTTGCCAATAAAGAACCATCTCTCTCCCCCCATTTTCTGACATAACGCTAGTCATTAGGGAAATGCTCTGACAATGTTCATGAAAGAACAAACCAATGTCTTCTGCTTTAATACCACGGATTTAACACATATGACTCTTGCTGCTTCCATATGACACTAAAAGTATCAGGAGTGCCAGGAAGTCTCTTTAATCGTCGTTCTCCAAAGTGCTCAGGAGATGAAGTCATTCTGTGAAGTGGACTTCAGTTGACACCACTGAGAAAATGTCCCAGAGAAAGTAAAACTTGTAATGGCATCATACTTTACAGAAATAATGCAAACTTCTTTCTTTCCTTTCTTTCCAGTTTTTAGATATTAATTTTAATTGGTTCAGGGCAACCTGTTTCTGCATCAAAGTCTTGGGAAGCTTCCAACTGTTTTTATTTTTACTTTATTTTTTTAGAAATAGAGTGTCACTGTTTCACCCAGGCCAAAGTGTAGTAGTATGATCACGGCTCACTGCAGTCTCAACCTCCCAGGCTCAAGCAATCCTCAGGCCTCCACCACCTGAGTAGCTGGGACAACAGCTGTGCCACCATGTCCTGCTAATGTTTTATTTATTTATTTATTTATTTATTTATTATAGAGACAGGATCTCGTTATGTGGCCGAGGCTGACCTCAAACTCCTGGTCTCAAGCAATCCTTGTGTCAGCCTCCCAAAGTGCTGAGGTTATAGACATGAGCCACAGCACACAGCGGATTTATTTTATTTTCTCAGAACTCTATGCAACCTGATTCTGCATACTTAAGGAAAAAGAAGCCAGACAAAGGTGGAAGTAGTTACACACAATGTGAGCATCATTTGGCACTTAGACAAGAGAGGCAGATTATAAAAATAAAAGATTCACATGTCACAATTGGCTGTGGGCTTCGATATGGACTCCAGCACTTTTTATTTTTACTTTTTTGGGAGATAGTGTCTCACTCTGTTGCTCAAGCTGGAGTGCAGTGATGTAATCATAGCTCACTGTAATCTCAAACTCCTGAGTTCAAGTGATCCTCCTGCCTCAGCCTCCCAAGTAGCTGGGACTACAGGTGTGCCATCGCTCCAGGCTAATTTTTTTGGATTTTGTAGAGACGAGGTCTCCCTATGTTGCCCAGGCTAGTCTCAAACATCTGACCTCAAGCAATCCTCCTGCCTTGGCCTCCAAAGCTCTGGGATTATAGGTGTGAGCCACTGTACCCGGCCGAGAAACCAACCCCACCTGTTTTCTATATAAAGTTTAGCATCTAGATACAAAGCAAAATACTTTTTAAAGATCAAAGAATCTGCAGGGAAGCTGGTGGGAGGAGAATAGGCTGAAGGCAGCGTTTTCTGATCTACAGTTTTGCTTATTCTTGAACTTTCCAAAGTCCCGAAAGAAGCAGAAGGAAAGTGAGAAGAAGGGAGGAAGAGGCAAGAGGAAAGGAGGATGGTTGCCCCTCTGTGGTTGCAGATTAGCCCAAGGCAGCTCAGTGGCTGGCAAGGAAAGAAGGAATGAAACCCCCAAGGCCGAAGGCAGAGTCAGAGTCCTGGGTCCAGCAGGGTCTGGAGGGGAGGAGGGTGCCGGCAGCCAAAGACCTTCCCGCTAGCACTGCAACCTCTTAAATTGCTTACGCTTTTATCCAAATTTGATGTGTCTGCGTTTTGTAGACTTCCAAAACAAGTCACTTAGGGTAACGCAAGCAGGAAGGGGAGGATGATAGGAGAAGGGGCCCCACCTGATGCCGCCCTTCTGGCTTTTATCCATTCCTGGGAATGACGGGGGACGCCCCTATGGGAGATACAGTGGCGTGGAGCAACAGTGGAGAATTCCAAGTCCGAAAAGCAATTGGCATTTTAAAGGAAAGTAAGAAATCACCCTGAATATATGAAATACTGGGAAAAAAGGTTGTTACTGATAATTCTCAAGAGACCACTCTGGTGAGATTGGGTTTCTCTGGGGATGTGTCAGGCAGGGTATAAGTACTGAGTGGGCACCTCCTACCCACCCTTCAGGCTCCTCCCTCAGCTCCTGTCTCCTGAAGCAGTCAGAGGGCAGCTCCGGTCCTCACCTCCTCTGAGCGACCCGCTCACTCATTCACTCACTCATTCATTCACTCACTCATTCATTCACTCACTCATTCGGTCACTCACTCATTCACTCACTCACTCATTACTCATTTACTCATTCACCCCCTTTTACTCAATCACTCATTCATTCACTTTCACTCAGTCATTCACTCATTAACCAATTCACTCACTCATTCACTCATTCACTAACCCATTCAGTCACTCATTCACTCATTCATCACTAACCCATTGACTCACTCACTCAATCACTCATTCACTCACTCAATCACTCATTCACTCATTAACCCATTGACTCACTCCCTCAATCACTCATTCACTCACTAACCCATTGACTCACTCACTCATTCACTCACTAACCCATTGACTCACTCAATCACTCATTCATTCACTAACCCATTGACTCACTCACTCGATCACTCATTCACTCACTCATTCACTCATTCACTAACCCATTCAGTCACTCAATCACTCATTCATCACTAACCCATTGACTCACTCACTCAATCACTCATTCACTCACTAACCCATTGACTTACTCAATCACTCATTCACTCACTAACCCATTGACTCACTCCCTCAATCACTCATTCACTCACTAACCCATTGACTCACTCCCTCAATCACTCATTCACTCACTAACCCATTGACTCACTCAATCACTCATTCACTCACTCAATCACTCATTCACTCACTAACCCATTGACTCACTCAATCACTCATTCATTCACTAACCCATTGACTCACTCACTCGATCACTCATTCACTCACTCATTCACTGTGGGGAAAAGAAAGAGAGACCAGACTATTACTGTGTCTGTGTAGAAAGATGTAGACATAAGAGACTCCATTTTGTTCTGTACTAAGAAAAATTCTTCTGCCTTGAGATGCTGTTAATCTGTAATCCTACCCCCAACCCTGTGCTCCCTGAAACACATGCTGTGTCAACTCAGGGTTAAATGGATTAAGGGCTGTGCAGGGTGTGCTTTGTTAAACACATACTTGAAGGCAGCTTGCTTGTTAAGAGTCATCACCACGCCCTAATCTCAAACCACTCCCTAATCTCAAGTACCCAGAGACATAAAGCACTGCGGAAAGCCACAGGGACCTCTGCCTAGGAAAGCCAGGCATTGTCCAAGGTTTCTCCCCATGTTATAGTCTGAAATATGGCCTCGTGGGAAGGGAAAGACCTGACCGTCCCCCAGCCCGACACCCGTAAATGGTCTGTGCTGAGGAGGATTAGTAAAAGAGGAAGGAACGCCTCTTTGCAGTTGAGATGAGAGGAAGGCTTCTGTCTCCTGCTCCTCCGTGGGCAATGGAATGTCTCGGTGTAAAGCCGATTGTATATTCCATCTACTGAGATAGGGGAAAACTGCCTTAAGGCTGGAGGTGGGACATGCTGGCAGCAATACTGCTCCTTAAGGCATTGAGATGTTTATGTATATGCACATCAAAAGCACAGCACTTTTTTCTTTACCCTGTTTATGATGCAGAGACATTTGTTCACGTGTTTACCTTCTGACCTTCTCTCCACCATTATCCTATTATCCTGCCATGCCCAATAATGATCAATAAATACTAAGGGAACTCAAAGGCCAGTGCCGGCATGGATCCTCTGTATGCTGAACGCCAGTCCCCTGGGCCCCTTTTTCTTTCTCTATACTTTGTCTCTGTGTCTCTTTCTTTTCCAAGTCTCTCGTTCCACCTAATGAGAAACACCCACAGGTGTGGAGGGGCAACCCATCCCTTCAATTCACTCCCTCATTCACTCACTCCCTCATTCACACACTCAGCCATTCACTGACTCACCCTTTCACTCACTCATCCATTCACTCATTCACTCACTTATTCACTCACTCACTCATTCCCTCATTCATTCATTCACTCACTCACTCATTCACCTCTTCACTCACTCATTCACTTCAATCATTCACTCTCTCACTCATTCACTCACCCTTTACTCATACACTCACTCATTTATTGACTCATTCACTCATTCGTTCATTCACTCATTCACTTGTTCACTCACTCATTCACTTGTTCACGCACTCATTCACTCACCCATTCACTCACTCACCGGCTCATTTGCTCACTCACTCATTCACCCACTCACCCATTCACTGAGTCATTCATTCACTCACTCACTCATTCACTCCTTCGGTCACTCACTCACTCATTCACTCATTTATTCACTACTTATTCACTTACTCACTTATTCACTCACCCATTCACTAAGTCATTGATTCATTCACTTATTCACTCACTTATTCACTAAGTCACTCGTTCATTCACTTATTCATTCACCCATTCACTCACTCACACATTCACTCACTCACGTTCACTCATTCACCCACTCATTTCACTCACTCATTTACCCACTCACTCACTTACTCCTTCACTCATCCACTCACTCACTCATTCACTGACTCACTCACTCACCCATTCACTCATTTACTCCTTCACTCACTCACTCCATTCATTCAGCAGCACCCATGGCAGGTTCACTCTGTCCTGGGCTCTGCTGTTGCCCTGGGCCTGCAACAGGGAATAGTCAAAGATCTCTGAATCCACAGCATTCAGAGTTCAGCAGGGGGGCCTGTCGAGAAGCCCAGCAGATAGGTGAAATGCCCCACGTGTGACACGCATGAGGCTGTTTTAAGAGAAGCGGGGAGGGAACAGGAGTGTGCATGGAGCCCGAATTTCTAACAGGGTGATCTGGGGAGGCCTCACCATGCAGGAGACCTTGCAGGACAGACCTGAGGAAGGTGGGAAGAGTGGGTAGGGAGAGGAGGGCCCGGGCTGAGGAAAGAGCAGGCTGGGCCTGAGGTTGTCGGGTGCCTGCATGGGTCTCTGGGCAGCACTAGGATCCGATGGACCAGTGGGCCATGTGTGGGGCCTGTGACTCCCAAGTCAGCAGAGGAGATGCCTGAATTACATCCTGATAGGTGCACCCTGACTTTGAAGCTGAGGACACCCGAGGCATGGAGGTGGGGTGGAGGTGGGGGCAGAGCAGGGGATGGGGAGGGAGCCTGTGTCAGTCCAGGTCACAGGTGGTAGCTTGGCCCCAGTGGCTCCAGATGCAATGAAGAGCCAGGAGGGACCTTCCTGAGAGACTTGGATGCCAGGGTAGAGGAGCACTGCAAGGCTTCAGCCTGAGACCCTGGGAGGATGGGGTCACCAGGAGCTGAGGTGAGGAAGACCGAGGGGTGGGGGGTTGCGTGGGGGTGCAGAGGCCTAAGCTCAGTTTGGCCCCTGCAGATTTGAGATGCCTACTCCATGCACAGGCAGAAACAGCAGGGGAAGGGAAGAGGCTGCAGCTCAGGTAGCCCTGGTGGTGGAATGTGCAGCCCAACATGCCGGAACACAGGGTTATGGTGCCCTCATGGCTAGGAGCTGCTTTCCTCCTGGGATGGCAGGACTCCTTTAGGGCACATGGGCAGCTCCTGCGCTCACCGCAGAGGGGAAGTGGGAAGGGCATCTGTCCCTATGCATGTTCTCCTTCACCTTGTCCTAGGCAGGTCCCAGGCAGCACCTCCCCTCCCAGTGGCTCCCCGTGGCCCCTGCCCCTAGTGTTCACAGCCAGATCCTCGAAGAGGGCTGGACTCCGTTGCTCACTTCTAATGAACAGAATCAGGCAAAAGAGACGGCGGTCTTTCCTGAGATTGGATTGGGAAGGGCTGCAGGTTCCGTCCACTGGAATTCTCCCCCTGGCTCTTGACATGTGCTAGTTCTGGCAAAGCCAGTCACCTGCCCAGGGCAGAGGGCAGCCTGAAGCTGATGCCAGGGACAGACTGGGGCCTTCAGTCCAACAGCCTGCAAGCAACAGAATCCTGCCAGCAACACAGGAGTGAGCGTGGAAGCAGCTCCTCCCATGATGAGCCTGAGCCTTCAGAAGACACTGTAGCCCTGGGCAGACACCTGTTGCAGCCACAGAGGGCCCCTGGGGCAGAGGGCCCAGTGAAGCCTGTCTGAACTCCTGGTCCAAGGAGTAATCATTCCTGTGGTATAAGTGTGTGCTGGTGTGGGCCACAGTTTGCAGTAATCTGTCAAGGGACAATAAAGAACAAACACACATGTCAGGTCCTACTGGGTGGAAGCCGTACAGTCAACAAGGCATGCAGTATCTTCCTCTTGAATTAGAAGATTCATTGCTCAGGCCAAAGATTAAACAACAAAAAAAAAATCTCTAGTTGTAGCACCATTAAAATACACGACTTGCAAAAAAAAAAAAAAAAAAAAAAAAAAAAAAGAGCCATAGCTATGCTTTTCCATCTTAGCTACAGGTATATATAAATATATGTTAATTCCTTGACTGACTGAGCAATGGGTCAAACTCATGAGAATAGATGTGTGAGGACGGTCAGTGACCACCCTGACCCCAGCCCTTACATACAGACAAACTTTTGAACATAATCCATAACCCTGGGGATCTGGACACTCTAAATTTTATTGTTTTTAATTAACTATTTCTATTCCCCAAACAATACCTGTTCATTGGAGAGAAAAATGGCATTACCTATACTAAGCAAAAGAAAGGAAATAAAATGCTCAGAAACATTTACGTGTGTGCACACTCACACACACACTTACACGCACACGTGCGCACATGCAAGCACAGGCTCACACTGTGTCCAGGCCTGCCTTTTCATTTATTTGTTTGACCTGAACATATTTCCATGTCAGTCGACACTTATCTTCGTAGTGGTAACAGCAATTAAATATTATCGCAGCGTATATTTTTAACCATCATTTATTTAACTCGTCATGTTTGAACTGTTAGGTTGTATTTATCGTTTTCTGTATTACAGACGACTTGATGACAAATGACCAATCCTCTAATGTTCAATATAAAAATATCAATTGCATAAGGAGATAAGGGGCATTTGGCTAAAATAAAATTCAGTGTGCCCCACCCTCTCCACATGTAATTTGCTCTAAAAAGGCATGAATGACTAAATTAGCCCTTCTATTCTCCAGCGCAGCTCCTGAGCCCAGCGGTGGGTGCAGGTGCTTAGAGCCTGGCTCTGCTCTTCTGCCGCCAGAAGGCGAAGGGCACCCAACCCAGGATTCTCCTCTCCTTTTTTATTAATAGAAGAGTGCTCAGGCTCAGTGCATGAGAGCAGCGCTCTCTGACTTTGCACTTATCAGAGTAACCTAGGGGGCTTGTTTAAAAATACACATTCCCTGGCTGAGCTCCCAGAAATTGGACTTCAGTGGTTTAGCGGGAGTGTGCATAGGCCAGGTGATTCTGAGGACCAACAGGGGTTAGGAATTGCCCCGTTAATTCTGGCCAAGGGAGAGATCAGACCATCCAGCATTGTCCGCAGCAGAGTTTTTCCCCCTCTTTTGCAATGAATATTTGATGCTCAGAGGGATGAGCCCCAGGATGAGGCACACATCCAAGAAAAATCCATGCCTCTCCATCTTTTCCCCAGGATTGCCCTAAGGCGAGCCGCTCTTTGTGATTCCTTCACTTTCCCCGGTTCATAGAACAGGCCTCTTCTTAGTCTGTTTTGTTGTCTCTTATCTGTTCAACAAACACCCACTGCGCAGGACCATCCTCCGGTGAGCCGTCGAGTGGGGCCGTTTGGGAGCCCTTCTTCGTGGGTGAGCACTGAAGGAACCCGGGTCCCATAAGCCCGTGCTTCTATGGGGGCTGCCCCCTCTCCCATCGCAGGGTAACTGGCACCAGGCTGTTAAGCTGTGGATGGGCAACCGCACAGTGCATTGGATGTGAGTATTTCAGTACGTGGAGCTGGCCAGTGGAGCCGGCCGAGGTCAGGCAGAGCGTACAGCAGCGCGCGTGTCCGTGGGGAGGGAGGGTCCTCCCGCCTCCCCGCCTCCCCGCCAGGCCAGTCCTGTTGCGCCTCCTCCTGCCCCACTCTGACTTTCCAGCGCCCAGGCCGGGGCGCCGCCAGGGCGTCTCTGAGGGTCGCGCCCCGATACCTTCCTCCACCCCACGGCTTCTTCCCCCCAAGGGCGGGGCTGGGGGCCCAGGAGCACCACAGCCCCCATGGGCCCGGGAAATGGCAGCTTCGTCATGGCCCAGCCCGCCACGCTCACCTTTTCCCACCACCTGGAGGATCCACTCTCCGTCCGTCCTTCCCGACCTCAGGCTGCAGAGGAAACCTGGGGGCGGGGGTCGAGGAAGCCGAGCCCCGAGGCTCCCAGCGCCGCCCCAGGAGGAATCTTGCGGGCCACTAGAAGCTGTGCGCGCGGCCGGGCTCGGCCCCCACAACGGCCCGAGCGGCCGGGCCTGCCGCGAGCCTCCGCGTCCAGGTGGGGTCTCCGCGCCCCCATTCCACCCCTCCCCGCCATCGGCGCTCCCCGCAACTGCGGGGTTTCCACCCGCCCCGGCGCTCGCGCCCACTCACGGTCTCCCTCGCCCCCCCGGGAGATGCTCCCGGCGTTCTATCCCGCCCCGCCCTGGCGCGCCCCGCAAACGATGTGACCCCGGCCCCCTGCGGTCTCCCCTCCTCCGGACGCTGCCCCTGCCCCACCTGTGGCGCTCCCGTCATCTCTAGAGCCCCCAACCAGAGTCCTCCAGCCCACCCGCGAGGCTCGCGCACCTGCGATGCGGCCCCACTAGCAGGGACCCGCCCACCTGTGGCGCTACCCCTGCCTCTGCCGCCTCCCGCACCGCTAGCGCGGCCCCCACCTACGACGACCCCCGCGTAGATGCTCCTGCCCACACCCGCCCCAGCCCCGGCCCCTGCCCCTAGCCGCGCCCGCGCCCCCTCCCCCGCAGCCCCTCCCATACGCTCGGGCCCCGCCCGTCACCGCCCATTGGCGCTGGGGCCGGGCGGGGGCGCGGGCGGGGCGGCGGTTCCGAGTCAGGCGCGCGCGGGCAGGGTCCCCATTGCCTGCTGCGCACCCGGACGTGCGGCTCCCCTCGGCCTCCTCGCCATGGACGCGGACGACTCCCGGGCCCCCAAGGGCTCCTTGCGGAAGTTCCTGGAGCACCTCTCCGGGGCCGGCAAGGCCATCGGCGTGCTGACCAGCGGCGGGGATGCTCAAGGTGCGCGCCCCCCTCCCGGCGGCGAGGGAGGGACGGACGGACGGAGCTGGGGAGAACCGGGCGAAGGCGATGGGGTGACCGGAGAGAAGAGGGGGGAAGCGATGGGGGGGACCCGGGGAAAGGTGGCGAAGCGATGGGGAGAACCGGGGAGAAGAGCGGGGAAGCGATGGGGAGAACCGGGAAGAAGCCCGCGCCCGGAAGCGGCAGGGGTACCTGCGGGGCGGCATGAGCCGGCGAGGCAGCCCCGGGGTCCTTGCCCGGTGGGGCGGGGGAGGAAGGGACATGGCGGTAGGAACCTCCATCCGGAAGATCAGTGAGTTTTCCACCTTCGGTTTTGTTTTAAATGGAACCTGGCAGAGGGAGTCGCCTGAAGCGCCCTCGGGGGTCGTTCTGCCTCTGAGCTGTAGGACGGGGCCGGGCGTCCCCTCCGAAGCGTGGGTACAGCGCGATCACTTCCTAAGTGCCCCCCCGCCCCCCAACTCCGCCGCACGCCACCCCCTAGAATGTCGAGGAAGAAACGGCTGGGTCCCCGCGCGCCTCCTGTCGCCTCGTGCCCTGCGCGGCGTGGGCGGGGTCCTGGCTGCTGCAATGCGGGACGCGGCGGGGGTGCGCGGGGTTCCCGCCTGGCGTCTCCAGGGCGGTCCGGCAGCCCCTCGCGTTTCCGCTGGGAGATTTTTAAAAAGGGTTTCCTGCGCTCGCATGTGCTGTCGCCTTCCGGCTCGTGACAAAAACGAAAACCAAAATGGGTCCCAGGCCCTCCCCGCCAGCCTCCGCAGACGGGAAGGATCAGGAAGCGGGGACTCCGGGATGTCAGCGGCGCCGCGGCGCGGGCTCCGGGCTTCCCTGCCCTGCAATGTGGAAGCTGCTCTCTAGGAGGGGCCCGAGGCTGGGCCCACGGACGCGGGCGCGCCGGGAGGATATTTAACATTGAAGAGCGGAAGGTGGCGGAGACTCGGCGCGCCCCAGGCCCCGGGTGCACGTGGGGGCGCCGGTGCCCGGATGATGGAGTGTCCCGATCCGTGCAATCCCTGGCGGGTAGATCGGCGCTTCCCAGGCGAACGCAACCTGGGAGCCTTAGCGATCGCGCAGGCTGGAGACGCGGCGCGCCCCGAGCTGGGTTTTGATTTTTGTTTTCCCGGTTCCTCCTGCCGCAGATGCGTGGAAAGGCCCGGATGGCGGATTTCCTCCCGTTTCGGGGCCGCGCACTGCACAGGGTTGGAGCGGGGATGCACCCCCTGCCCACTGCGCGGGTGACCTTCCCTTCGCCCTTGAGCGCGCGGGGCGGGCGCGGGTGCCGCAGGTTGAGGCGCTGTGGGCGCCGCCCCGCCCGCCACGAGCGCCTACGTGATGCCCGGCCCGTCGTCTCCACGAGCCCCGGCCCCGACACCCGTGCGCCGCGCGCTCCCCAGGCCCGCAGCGCAGCCTCCCCAGGCCCAGCGCCCCCCGCGGGAGACCCGGGTGGCAGCGCCAGGCCCCGCCCCGCAGCCCGCCCTGCAGCGCCCCCGGGAAGTGCTCTGGCGTTAGCATTCCAGTAAAAGGACCCCAGCATCAACGTTCTTCCTGCAGGGCTGGGTTCTCAGAGAAAGAAAACGTGATGCAGCAGAGGATGGGATTGAAGAAACAGGAGAGTGAAGTGGAAATAGCCTGGCCCGCGTGACTTAAACCGGCCCGGAGATGTGCGGGTACGAATGGAGCCGCCTTGGGGTCGGGATAGGACCCAGAGTGGCTTCTCAGTCAAAGGCCTTCAGAAGCAGAGGGAGCACCTTGAGTGACCTTACCTGGGCCGCGAAAGACAAGAAACCTTTGGCACAGGAAGAGGAACTGATCTCTGGAAGCCACCAGGGCGGGTGGAAAGTCAGGGTTTCAAGGTTATTTTGGAATTTAGGTGCTGTGGGCCTTGTACGGTGGCTCATGCTTGTCATCCCAGTGCTTTGGGAGGCCGAGGCAGGAGGCTCGCTTGAGCCGAGGAGTTCCAGAGCATCCTGGGCAACATAGTGAGACTCTGTGTCTACAAAAAAAAAGAAAGAAAAAAAATTAAGATACTGCATGTATTGGAAAATATTTATGGGTCATTCCTTTGAGCTCCATGTCCAAAAGCTTGCTAAAATGCGCGGGAGTTTGTGTACAGGCATGTGAGATTAGGATACATTGGCAGAATCGCGGTGTTCTCTGTTACCCTGGTTTTGCCACCTGGGAGGAGTTAGACATATTGAAGGTTAGTAAGTCCACGCCTCTTCTTTTCTGGGGAAAATGATACTTTGGAAACCAATATTATGTGGGGAACGCGGCTTGGTTGCTGCAACCTCGGGTTAATAGGAGACAGCTGCCCTCAGCTCTGCAGGTGGCATCAAATATGGTGGCCTCGAGCCCACATGGGTCACACCTGGGCTGTCCCTGGGGAAGCCCGCCATGGCGGGTCGCCTGGGCACTCTTTCCCTGGCAGAGCTGAAGTCACAATTTTTTTGTAGACTCTGTAAAGAGCTTTACCCTTCGGTGATACGATCTTGAACCTGTTGGAGCATTTGGACGCATTTCTTTTAAGGAAGTTCACCTCCAGATGTACTCAGAGGGCCTGGTCTTAGCTGCCACAGATTTACAAACCCTTACAGTAAGTAGGTTATTCCTCGAGAATATCTCAGTGTCCCCATTCTTTTACCATTTTATTCTGATTCTATGTTAGTACTTGATTTTCCCTGACATAGAAGACTATTGCTTGTAGCTAGAGATGAGAGAACATATTCACATTCACGTATTAATTTCAGGGGAATTTTCTGTCAGATGTGAAATTATGGTAAAATTCCGTATATTAAGATGATCATAGCTACCATTTGTTGAAAACATTTTGTATTCTAAGAGCTTTACACTTCTTATCTCCAAGCCTAAATACATGATCCCAAGAGAGGCGTGTCCTCATTTTGGAAGTGGGGAGAAAGACTCAGAAAGAAAAGTAAGTTAGGTAAGGGCATGAGGTGCATACGTGATTGTGATAGGAGCAAAACAGATCTTAATTCCAAATATTGTACTCTCCCGTAGACCACGAAGAGTACTTATGTCTGGCTGTGTCACCCAGGCCAGAGTGTAGTGGTGCCATCATAGCTCACTGCAGCCTCAAACTCCTGGGCTCAAGTGATCCTCCTGCCTCAACCTTCTGAGTAGCTGGGAAGACAGGAATGCACCATCATGACCAGCTAATTATTATTATTATTATTATTATTATTTTTGTAGAGACAGGATCTCACTATGCTGCCGAGACTGGCCTTGAACTCCTGGCCTCCTGTAGTGATCCTCCTGCCTTGGCCTCCCAAAGAGCTGGGACTACAGACATGAGCCATTGTGTCAGGCCTCCACCATCTCCACCATGTTTTTCAGGGACCTTTCTTGGTGAAGCTGCTTTATCTAGTTAATGCTCAAAAGTGAGCAAAACCCGATTTGCCCAAAATTACACAGATATTCTTTGGGTGGCTTTGTTAGGGGAACGGAAAATGCCTTTTTATAGTGATAGGAGTCCAGGTGGCAAGAACGATATTATGTGATGGGCTGCTTTTTCTTCTCTCAGTAGAGTGTATATTATTTAATTATAAGATACAATTGAAAATCTCTTTCTCTTTTCTATATTCCCGACTCCCCGGGCCTTGAATGAAGAAAGTATTTCTCAGGCTGTTTTTGTTTGTTTGTTTGTTTGTTTTTTCTACTTGCTTGGATATCTTCTGTCTCAGGCTGTTTTTTTTTTTTTTTTTTTTTTCTTTCTCTTCTTCTGCCTCTTTATGTATCTTCTGTTGTCCCAAGACATGTCTGGAAACTTAAATTGATTTTCACTCAATCTGAAATAAGCTCCATAACTCTGAATGGCGGACTTACCATGACTAAGTCCCCACTGCCACAGAACACTGTGC
Organism: Homo sapiens; assembly: GCF_000001405.40. Classification (NCBI taxonomy): domain Eukaryota; kingdom Metazoa; phylum Chordata; class Mammalia; order Primates; family Hominidae; genus Homo; species Homo sapiens. The sequence goes on from NC_000010.11 coordinate 3,071,601, forward strand.
CACACACCAAGAGTGACTCATTGTCTTAGTCACAGGTTGTGGCTTCTGAAGGTCCTGGTGCCTGGTGGAGCTGAGTGTACTGGGAAGTCCAGGTGCATCCTTAGGGTAGGCTGCATGTGAAAGCTGCGTCCTTTTTGCCTGTGGTGAGGTGAATATCAATACAGTATTTATAGAAAGTCCACATAAATTGAGTAAGTACAAACCTTTCCAATCCTAGTGAGAATAACTAGCATTAATGACTCTTTGTTATGTGGCAGGGCCTCAGTGATCCTGGGCAATGACTTATCCCTATTTTACACATGAGCAAGGGGCGCCTGAGTTGCACCACCTTCCCTGAGTTCACAGAGCTCCGTGGTGGGGCCGGGCCCTGTGGCTGCAGCAGGGATGTTCAGGGCTGCGCGTACCTGCGTCTTCACTGGTGTCTTTCCCGCGCCCAGCACCATGCCTGGCGCTTCGCAGGAATGCAAGTGTTTGCTGCCTGCCTCCTGCCTGGAATCTCCACTGAGGAGCAGGAAACCAGGGGTTCTAGCTGTCTTCTTCGTCCATGAAGTCCTTTAGAGGAATTCAACCCTCTCTAATTAAAAGTATCCAATATCCTCAGGTCAATATGTGTAAACTGTTAAGACTTCAAGATTAGAACCTTAAAACCGAAGTCAGAAGTGTGAGGTTTCCATTGGCTGGACGTGCATTAGGTCAATGACACACATATTTATTGGACACCAGGCTTGAGCCCCACATGGGCACCTTTGGTGTCTGAAGCAATGCTGGCTTCGGAGCCCAGTAGGGTGGAAGGGGAAACTGAGAACAGCGCCATTTTGCCTCCCACGGCTCTGGGCCCGTTACCTTCCTGTGTACATACATTATTTGATGGGATCTTTTCAGTGTAAAGTGCAGTAATTAATTTTGCAAAAATTACTGGGTCTGGGAGGCAGTGTGTTGGAATGATGGTGTCACCATGTGGCACAGTGGGAGATTTGTGTAATGGCATCATTTTCTGTGAATGCAGACCGTTTTGTGTGCCATACTCGAATGACCCTTCGAAGCTAGACATTTTGTCATCTTTCGAAAGAAGCATGTTTTCCCCCTTGGTTACAGAAAGCTAAAAGCTTTTGATACAGGACTCCAACCTTTTATCAGGGAGAATTAGGCTCTTTAAATAATTAGGGCTCTACCAATCTGATGGGCCATCAGAAGCAATTAAAATTAGAAAGGTGAAGATACGGTAACGTAGTCAGGACAAACATCAGGATACCAGATTGCACGTTCACAATGGCATTTCGGCTAAGAAAGTGCGGGTGAATATAGAACAGAGGGCCGTATGTCAGTAATTGGGTTCCGTTTTGTGTTTCTTTTCCACAAGCCCTTTCTGGTGTTGTGTTTTTGTTTATTAGAGAGTAGCTGCCCAAAGGCTACAGTTTCCCTCCCCACTCCTCGGTTCTCTCCGTCTTCACCCCCAACTCCCAGTCCTGTGTTTGGAATTACAGTCATTGTGCTTGTCAGGATGTAAGAGGCAGCCAGACACATGGCAGACCAGAGCACTGAGAGGCAGAGACATTTATAGGTCCTAGCCCTGGTCCTGCTGTCTGGGTCAGCAGGGTGCTGAGTGCTGAGTGCTGAGATAGGGTCTTGATGTTTTCCTCTGCAGAATGGAGGCATCACTCAGTCTCTGTCTCCTCTCCCTGTCTCTGTCTTCCCTCCCCTCTTCCCTAACACATATCCACAGTGAAAGTGTTCAGGAGGAAAAGAGAATAGGCTGGACTGTGCTGGGACCCCCAACCCCAGGGCCCGTGTGCTATTTTCCCAGCCTCCGTGTGCCCAGAGATGCCTAGGGGAGCCTGCGGAGGTGTAGATCCTGACTGTGTGGGTCTGAGTGAGGCTCCGACTCTCACGGGGAGGGCACCGGTGCTGCTGGACCCCCTGGGGCCAGTGGAGCGGTTTGCAAATCGGGCAGATCAGCTTCTCCACTTCTCCAGGTTTCCCCAATGTGAGATGCTCCCAGGAGTCCCATGGGATTGTTTTCTGACTTTGACCAGGATTTTGACAGAGAAGATTCATTAATATAGGACCCCTTGTCTAAACGTACATATGTAAATGATCTGATCCGAAGTTTCCTGAATGGAAAATGATTGAAAGGGTGGCATGCAGTAGCCTCGGGGAGTCAGTCCTTCATATCTTTTCAGCTGTGTCTTACTACGATTAAGATTTTATTTCTGTGTGTGTGTGTGTTTTTTTTGTTTGTTTGTTTGTTTGTTTTTGAGACGGGATCTTGCCCTCTTGCCCAGCCTGGAGTGCAGTGGCTTGATGTCGGCTCACTGCAACCTCCGCCTCCTGAGTTCAAGCGATTTTCCTGTCCCAGCCTCCCAAGTAGCTGGGATTACAGGCATGCGCCACCATGCTCACCTGATCTTTTTTGTATCGTTAGTAGAGATGGGTTTCACCGTGTTGGTCAGGCTGGTCTCGAACTCCTGACCTCAAGTGATCCACCTGCCTTGGCCTCCCAAAGTGCTGGTATTACAGGCTGGAGCCACTGCACCCAGCCTTATTTCTGTGTTTCTGTAATCATTGTGCATGTTAACAGACTGCCTTGGGTGAGTCAGGACAGGATTTTGGCAAAAGAACCAGGCCCTTTCTGCCTGGAGCTGTCACTCCTGTGGTGAGGTGCGGGTACGACGTGCCTGTAGCCTGACCTGAGAGGAAAAGCTCCTGTCTTATGAAAGGGCCCAGGGGAACCTCTGGTTGGGGCCCTTTGACCTGACCTGACAGTGAGGGAGGAGTCCGTAGAGGAGAGTGGCCCAGTGGAGGACTTTGGCTTTGCCTTGGGTGAACTGGGAAGCAGGTGGAGGGAAGCAGACTGACTGTCTCCGATAAGGGTGGCTTTGTGGAGAGGAGAGGAGGGGAGGGGAGGCCACAAGTTTAGGGTATCACAAGGAGCAGGCCACAGATGGAAGGTTATGGGGTGGGGCACGTGGCAGGGCAGCCCTGTGTCCACAGACACATCCCGCCAAGGGGACCCAGAGACTTGAGTGTGTCAGGGCTTGGGGTGAATGGGCACTCAGCTGTTACAGCTGGAAGGTAGAGCATGTGAGCTCCAACAGACACAGGCAGGTGGGGGTTAAAGGAGAATCTTCATAGCAGTGCTTAGAATAGCAAAAAGTGGGAAAACCAGCAAAAAACTATCAATAGGAGATTAATTAATTCCATTATGGCACCTGGAATGTGCCGAGACCAGCTCAGTCGGGGAGACCGTAACCCAGCGGCGCTAGAGGAATTAAAGACACACACACACAAATAGAGGTGTGAAGTGGGAAATCCGTGGTCTCACAGCCTTCAGAGCCGAGAGCCCAGAACAGAGATTTACCCACGTGTTTATTAACAGCAAGCCAGTCATCAGCATTGTTTCTACAGATATCAAATTAACTAAAAGTATCCCTTATGGGAAATGAAGGGATGGGCCAAATTAAAGGAATAGGTTGGGCTAGTTAACTGCAGCAGGAGCATGTCCTTAAGGCACATATCTCATGCTACTGCTTGTGGCTTAAGAATGCCTTTAAGCAGTTTTCCACCCTGGGTGGGCCAGGTGCTCCTTGCCCTCATTCCCATAAACCCACAACCTTCCAGCCTGGGCGTTAGGGCCGTTATGAACGTGTCACAGTGCTGCAGAGATTTTGTTTATGGCCAGTTTTAGGGTCAGTTTATGGCCAGATTTGGGGGGGCCTGCTCCCAACAGAATGGAAGGAATTTTTGTCAGCGTTTAATAAGGAGCTTTGTGCTGGTCGAAAGTCAAGAGGTACACAGTATACTCAAGGGCAGTATTGAAGAGCCGATTCCAGAGCGGCTTCCCTCTGGAGCCAGTGGGGCAGTTTGCAAATCCAGGCAGATCAGCTTCTTGGAGGTTTCTCCAACGGGAGAATCTCCCAAGAGTGAGGCTTGCATGTGGGTGGCCTGTGTTATATATGCAATTTTAAATGATCTAGTTGCCGCATTAAAGAAAGGCGGGGCAGGGGGCCGGGAGTGGGGGACTCTGGGTGCCAAGACTCAACATCTGTAATCCCAGCCCTTCAGGAGCCCAAGGCAGGTGGATCACTTGAGCCCAGGAGTTTGAGGCCAGCCTGGGCAACATGGCAAGACCTAGTCTCTACAAAAAATACAAAACAATTAGTCAGGCGTGGCGGTGCACACCTACAGTCCCAGCCCCGTGGGAGATTGAGGTGGGAGGATTGCCTGAGCCCAGGAGTTGGAGGCCGCAGTGAGCTGTGACTGCACCAGTTCACTCCAGCCTGGGCAACAGAGTGAGACCCTATCGCAAAAAAAAAAAAAAAAAAAAGTAGTGAACCCGGGAAGCGGAGCTTGCAGTGAGCCGAGATCGCGCCACTGCAGTCCGCAGTCCGGCCTGGGCGACAGAGCGAGACTCCGTCTCAAAAAAAAAAAAAAAAAAAAAAAGTAAAAACCGGTAAAAGCAAAAAACTATGTTTTATATTCAATCCACTATTTTGATAACAATCAATTATTGTAGATTATTCATATTTTACACTGTTTTCCGTAGTAAGTCTTTGAAACCCAGTGTGTAAAGAAGCTTAAAGCACATCTCCATGTGGACGGGACGCACGTGGCCAGCGGCTCCTCTGAGGGACAGTGTGGTCACGCAATGGGTGGCGTGTGCTGCCTGTATTTAGAAGGTCCCCATGTGGGTGTTTTTGCGAAGGCTCTGAGGGATGTGCAGGGGAGGGCCGACACTGTCCCAGCCACGCAGAGGACCCTGGAATGCAGCATGCTGCCGCCGCGCCCCCGCCCCAGCCCCTCTGCTACCTGAGCTCTTTCCCAGATGTCCATTTGGCTAAACTCCCTCAACTTCTTCCCTTTCCTTCTTTCTCCAAACGTCACTCTCAGGCAGGTCTGCAGGCTCTCCGATTGTCAATGGCAGCCCCTCCCTGTCCTCCACACCCTCAACACCCCCCACCCCGCTTGTTATTTTTCTCCTTAGCACTTACGGCCATCCATCCATGGGCATCATGCATTTGTTCACTGTGTTTCTTGCTTTCGGGTCTCTCCTGATCGGAACAAGCTCTTCCAGGGCCAGAGGCTTCCCATCTTGTCACTGATGCATCCACACAGAGCCCAGCAGAGGTGGCACTTGGGGCACCCGAGCTGGACAGTGGGTTGGTGGTTGAGTGAAGAGCCCTACAGATTTATCTCAAGCCCTCCCCTGACCCTACTAGAAGACACGGTGGTCTGCACAGTCCAGGAGGTCAGAGAGGCCCCCCAGTTCGATGACTTTGAACTGGCAGGGGTGGGGAGGGAACAGCACCTTGACAGAATCTGCCTTTGGCATCCCACCTCCCCATGCCTACATAATCCCTACATTATCAAAGGAAAGACCCCTAGAAGGAACTTTGGCAGCAGTAGTGAGATCAGCGCGGTGTAAGCTCATTTTCTAACAAAGCAGCGGGAGGAGTCGGCAAACTGACTTTATTTCTCAAAAAGAATTTATGCATTGAAATTAACAAGTGAGTGATCAGGAGTGTGGGAAAATTCAGGAAAAGTGGCTCAGTGCTGTGAGAGAGGGCGAGGCAGGGAGCTTTATTACTCCAGACAATGGAGGAGGTAAAAGATAGACCCAGATTATTTCATTAGAGTTCATCTATTCTTTACTTTTTTTTTTTCTTTTTTTTTTTTTTTTTTTGAGATGGAATCTCACTCTGTCACCAGGCTGGAGTGTAGTGGCGCAATCTCGGCTCACTGCAACCTCCACCTCCCGGGTTCAAGCGATTCTCCTGCCTCAGCCTCCCAAGTAGCTGGGACTGCAGGCGCTCACCACCATGCCCGGCTAATTTTTTTTTTTGTATTTTTAGTAGAGATGGGGTTTCACCCTGTTAGCCAGGATGGTCTCGATCTCCTGACCTCGTGATCCGCCCACCTTGGCCTCCCAAAGTGCTGGGATTACAGGCATGAGGCATCGTGCCTGGCCTATTCCTTACTTTTTAAAAAAAAAATGCAATTTAGATTTTATCAGAGCAGAATCCCAGGAAACTGAGATTTGTAAACTGGGAAATCCAGCTCCTCCAAGTAGCCAGGAAATAAGGGTGACTTAAGTCATGCTTGCTAGGCCCTGGTGTAGGCCAAGGATGACTCTGACTCAAGGAAGAAACCGTCCTGTGACTCTCTTACCTGCATTGTGGTTTAGTAAGAAGCTGTTAAAAAGTACGGCATATGAAGAAAGCGATTTAATAATTGGTCAGAGTAATGACCAGATCTTTCCTATGAAACCGCTCCCTCATTATCTCCAACTTTATTTTTGGTTCTCATGACAAGATATTCACTTCCCTGAAAACTGGGATTTTTGCAAATTACGAAGCGGTGTTTTTCCAAATGTTAAGGTTCTTCTTTGGTAGGAAGATGTTATTTTCTCCTGGAAATCCTTGGGTTGGGCTCCCAAAACCAAAACAAAACCAGATGGATTAGCCCCAGGATGCCTGAGCTATTTGGACAATCTGTGGCTTGAGTGTTGAGTGAAAGACTCTGAAACTGCCCTTTGTCCCTTAATGGCTGTGTGCCAGGGCCCACGGACAGCCCTAAGGAAATGGTGAAACAGGTGACTTTTACCTGTGACGCCAAAAGCCCACGTTGCGGGCTGTGAAAGCCCTCATTGCAGGTGTGCACGTCTGCCTGCATTGCAGGTGTGCACGTCTTCGTCCCTGTCCTGTGGGTGACAGCCCGCCAGTAAATGCTGGTATATTTCCCCCTTGCTTTTCATCCACCAGTGTTCTTCTCCCTCCAAACCCCTCACTGAATGTTCCTGGGGCTTCCTCAGGTTTCATCTTGCAGGGCCCAGCAGGAGGCAGCTGACTTGCAGTCCTCACTGTTCAGAAGTTCAGAGGGAGGGCTTAGAACTAAACAGTCTCCACTCCCAGGCAATTAAATGAGCATCTGGCCTCAGCAGGTATTATTTTCCTTCAAGTTCCCATTGGTGACTCTGAGGCACAGGCATTGTAATAGAGGAAATTAGGAAGGCTTGAAAGTTAAAATGAAATAAGACTAGGGTTTACACTACAGCTTCACCGCTTACTAATGTTGTTACCTTCCAGTAATCAGTTTATCCCCCTAAGAGCCTCAGCTTTCTCATCCCTCCAGGGAGGTGTCAGGAGCTCTGCAGGCTTCCTGTGAGAAACATCCAGGCCAGGGCTCTGGCTGTGGGTCTGCAGTCAGCAAGGGACGTCCTACTGGGCCCCACCGAGTGCTGCCAGTCCCTGAGCTCAAGGAGGACACATGAATAAAAGCCCTTTGCAATGCATGGCTCCATCCTACCAATGCATAAATTAATAGAAGTCCTTTCAGGACCTAGAATTGTGTCTCTTTAAAAGTGTGGTGCCCCCATCACCTGGAAATTGCTAGAAATGCAAGTTCCCAGGCTCCCTCTCCACCTGTGAAACCCGGGGGCAGCCCAGCTACATGGGGGTGCTGCGGCCGCTGATGGTGAGCTCCTGCTGTGGGGTGGTGTCACTGTTCTTTCCAGGTGGGTGCAGGTGAACCCGGAGTGGGGGTGGGGAGAATCCAGCAGGGACTTCAGCGATTGAGTTTAGTGCTGGGGTGCATTTTTACTCTGCACAGGAGTCTCCTGGGGTCACCTTGTGTATCATGTCCAGCTTTTTTTTTCTGAGACAGAGTCTCGCTCTGTCGCCCAGGCTGGAGTGCAGTGGCATGATCTCAGCTCACTGCAAGCTCCACCTCCCGGGTTCACGCCATTCTCCTGCCTCAGCCTCCCGAGTAGCTGGGACTACAGGTGCCCGCCACCACGCCTGGCTAATTTTTTGTATTTTTAGTAGAGACGGGGTTTCACCATGTTAGCCAGGATGGTCTCGATCTCCTGACCTCGTGATCTGCCCACCTAGGCCTCCCAAAGCACTGGGATTACAGGCGTGAGCCACCGTGCCCAGCCTCATGTCCAGCTTTTAAGAATTTTATTCCTTCTTCTATGTCTTTCCACTTAACATTTCCTAAAATCCCCGAGTTCTTCATCATTCCTTTATGAAAGACCGGTGGGAACGAGGTCTTCAGAGAGCGGGGTGGGGGGGGGGGGAAGAGGAGCAGGGGTGAGGGGCCGCCATTGGGTCTTAGTTGTGCTCCTGCATCACCTGCTTCCTAGTGTTGGCACGGGCTGTGTTTGATGGGTAATTCATCCATTAGAGTGACCATAGCGTAAGGTCCTGGAACCAGAGCTGTGCGTCCACCCTTCGAGTTGAAGAGTCCAGGCACTGCTGAGCCCAGCCATGGGAGAGATGAGCGAGGACCTTCCACAGGTGTGAGGCCAAGGGGGCGGGAGGCTCTGTCCTGCCAGGAATAAATGGAATCAGGTGGGAGGCTCTGTCCTGCCACGAATAAATGGAATCAGGTGGGAGGCAAGCCAGGCCCTTTTCCTGGGAGGTGCCAGAGCCGAGGAGGAGTTGGAGGAGGAAGAGCGTCCGAGCAAGAGCACTGGTGGGACTGCTACCAAGGTTCAGGAACAGGAGCCTCCGAGTGCTGCCAGACAGGTGGGAGGTCCCTGGGGCATGGCCGGGAGCTCAGGGGAACTTGGGTTTTCTTCCAGTAGCCCTGGGAACCTGGAGGAACGCGGTCATATTCGTGCTTTAGAAGAGAACATTGCCGGGTGCAGTGGCTCAAGCCTGTAATCTCAGCACTTTGGGAGGCTGAGGCGGATGGATCACAAGGTCAGGAGATGGAGACCATCCTGGCTAACACGGTGAAACCCCGTCTCTACTAAAAATACAAAAAATTAGCCAGGCGTGGTGGCGGGCGCCTGTAGTCCCAGCTGCTCAGGAGGCTGAGGCAGGAGAATGGCGTGAACCTGGGAGGCGGAGCTTGCAGTGAGCCGAGATTGCACCACTGCACTCCAGCCTGGGAGACAGAGCGAGACTCCGTCTCAAAAAAAAAAAAAAAAAAAAAAAAGAGAATATTGAAACTGGTATGGAAAACATCTCGGACGTAGTGTCAAAGTGTAGAAAGAAATAACAAGTGTGAAACTCGCACAGCCCAACAGCAAGGCACCGTCCCCATACCCAGCTCTCCAACGGGGTGGGGCTCTTGTGGCTGTTACTTCATTTGTTTTTTTTCTAAACAAGAAGAATATATTCATAAATTATTTGCATAAAAGCAAATGAAAGAGAAAAAGCTGTTGTAATCCTTCTGGCCACAGTGTGGCTCATGTCAGAGGGAGTCAGGGAGTCGGGGGTAATGTTGGGAGCAGGTGTTGGTTGTATGGGCAGGAGCCAGCAAGGGTGTTAGCAGCATTCAGCGCCAGAGACAGAGAAGAAAGTTGTGCTGTTCGGCAAGAGAGAGGTTACAGCGGGAGGAGGAAATGATCAGGGTGAGATGACCTGCATTTTGAAATGCTGAGTTTGATGTTCTTGAGAGATGGCCACTAGTTAATCAGTAGGTCATTCGAATTCTTTGTGTTATAAGCTAGGTTTGAATATAAAGTAAATAAGACTATGTAATATATATATACACACATACATATACATACATGTTAGATACATAGTAAACATGCATTTACCTCTAAAATATGTATCCCCAAGGTTTTTCAGCCAAATAGATACTCTCATTCAGAATTGTCAACTTTCAGAGGCAATGGTGACTCCAGCATCGCTGACCTGGCCCAATGTAATTGAAGATTTTTCTAAGCATCTTCTGAGCCGGTCACCGTCCAAGTGCACATAGCCTGCCTCTGTCACAGATGCCCCTGCAGGACCACAGTCCTTTCATTTGTGGTTTATTGACTGGAAACATCACTGGCTTCATGGCCCACGAACTGCAGCATCTTTAGTTCTGACAGCTGTTTCTGAAACTTAACTTTGCAGAGGAGGAAGCTTGGTGCTCTCAGGTGTGTTTGGGAGCAAAGGCACTGAAGGCTCAGGTGTTCCTCATCCTTAAGCAGCAGCGCTGCATGGCTGTGGGTGCGGCCCTCGTGCCTTTTCACTCCTCTCCCGATGGGCCTGAGCTTGTTAGCCACGACAGCAAGACAGACCCTCCAGGCCCAGAGGTGGTTCCGAGACACTAGTGGCTTCAGCTCCCCCAAATCCAGCGGCAGTGGAGAGCTAGGTGGAGGCTAACAGACTTATGATACATTGTAAGCAGACTTATATGATGATACATTGTAAGCAGACTTATATGATACATTGTAAATAGACATGATACATTGTAAACAGACCTACATGATGATACATTGTAAACAGACTTATATGATGATACATTGTATAACACTGTTCTTCTCAAGGGGGGCCTCCCTTTATCTTCATGAGGTATGGTTATTTGTAATATGCTGGTTTATTTTAACTTTACTGATAATAAAATTGCATGACTTGTTTTCTGTTGAAGCCCATTGCCTTTTTTTTTTTTTTTTTTTTTTTTTTTTTTTTACAGTGGTAGTTGGTGATGTGATACTCCATTTTTCATCTCCTTCTCAAATCACACACACACAGAATTTGGCTAGCTGCAAATAAACCCCTATTCTGTACTTCGTTTTGCAGTTGAATGGAGTGGCCTACAAATTCGTACCAAGTCCAGGCAGTGATGTTTTGAACAGAAAGTAGCCTGGGCATGGGGGTACCTTGCGTTACGTTGGCTGTTTCTTTTAGTCCTTACCCTAATCCCAGAGGAGTGTGTGTACCCATTTCTCATATTAGGAAATGAGGCATTGAGAGGTTAGGAAACGGACCCATGGTCATGGGTAGTTAGTGGCAGAGCCAGAATTACCCCGGGCTCTTCAGTGACTCTTGCTCCTGTTTCCACTGCAGGTATGAACGCTGCCGTCCGTGCCGTGGTGCGCATGGGTATCTACGTGGGGGCCAAGGTGTACTTCATCTACGAGGTCAGTGTCTGCCCCTCACCCCCTGTCGCCCTTCTTCCACCTGCCCAGAGCCCTGCAGTCACCGGCGCTCGCTCACCCCTGCCTCCCCCATGCTGAGCACAGCCGAAGAGGTGGGCAGGGGAGCAAGATCCTGCCAGCCAGGGCCGTTCCTCAGCCCACAGAAGCCCCTGGTCTGCAGGGACAGATGCCTGGTCTGCAAGTTTTTTGTTAGGCAAGAGGAGAAAGGAGATGAGAGGGAGCCCAAAAAGCCATTTTCTTTTTTCTTTTTTTTCTTTTTTAGACAGTCTTGCTCTGTTGTCCAGGCTGGAGTGCAGAGGCACGATCTTGGCTCACTGCAACCTGCTGGGTTCAAGCAATTTTCTGCCTCAGTCTCATGAGTAGATGGAATTACAGGTGCCCACCACCACACCCAGCTAATTTTTTGTATTTTTAGTAGAGAAGGGGTCTCACCATGTTGGCCAGGCTGGTCTGAGTCCTGTCCTCAAGCTATCCACCCGCCTTGGCCTCCCAAAGTTTTGGTATTACAGGTGTGAGCCACTGTGCCCAGCCACAAAAGGCCATGTTGATATCAACTTCCTGGTGTTGATTTATAGGATTAGAAATCAACCAATGATCTCTAATTGGTTGTATTGGTTGGTTGGTTGTATTTGTCTGAGGCTCTTACTGCTGTAGAAGTGATTTATTAATTTCCAATGTAGGCTGAATTTGAATACACATTTAGGGAAATGAGGAAAACAGCCACTTTGAGCTTTTCATCATTCATGTAAGGTGGAAACGATGCCTAGTGTCTGCTGATGTGTTAAATAGCAGGAGTGACTCCCTGTCTGCCACTTTTGAAGTCCTGGCAACTTAAGACTAAAAAGTATTTGAAAGGAAGGCACCAATAGAGTTTGGATCACAGTATTAATTTCAGAAATTATTAGGAAAAATATTTAATGTTTAAATTTATAAAACATAGCTTTAAAAATGAGAAGAAGGTATTTTTGTAAATCACTTAATGCCTCCAAAATGGCTATTAGTGTTTTAGTCTGATTTCCTTCAGTATGACGTATGTAAAACACCGGAAAGAAACACACACATTAGGAAAAGTACAGCAAACACGTTCTGTATACTGTGTTTTTTGTTTACGATTATGTCATGACTTTTCACTACGTAGGTTTCACGACTGTTGCTTTAACTTATTTTATTTTATTTTTTTTGAGAAAAATCTCACTTTTGTCCCCCAGGCTTGAGTGCAATGGCTTGATTTTGGCTCACTGCAACCTCCGCCTCCCAGATTCAAATGATTCTCCTGCATCTGCCTCCCACATAGCTGGGATTAAGGTGCCTGCCACCATGCCCAGCTAATTTTTGTGTTTTTTAGTAGAGATGGGGTTTCACCATGTTGGCCAGGCTGGTCTCGAACTCCTGACCTCAGGTGATCTGCCTGCCTTGGCCTCCCAAAATGCTGGGATTACAGGTGTGAGCCGCCGCGCCCAGCCAACTGTTGCTTTAAATGTCAACATACTGTCTTGTTGAATTGATGTCTCATCATTTATGATGGACCCTGTATTCCACCATTCCTGTGGTATTGCACTATTTAGCTTTCTCCCCGTTTTTTAAGCTATTGTAACACTGCAAGATCTATGTTAATATTCAAAGCGATTTGATGTTTTGTATTATTTAATACCTTGGTCCTAATATCAGGCACCGACTGAGCTAAAAGGGACAGTCATCATGATGGCTTGGGATGCCTCTTGCCTAAGTAATTCCTGAAACCTGTCCAGCCTCGTCCCAGCCCCGCGCAGGGAAGGCGGTGCTCTAGCTCCCATGATGATGCTGTGTGCCGCTGTGTGCGGCGGCCTTCTGAGCACTGGCAGGTTTCCCCTGTCTGCTTTCTAAGCCATGTTTCCCTTTGGTGAAATGGTTGCTACTATTATTCTTTGCTCATTTATCTGTGTATCCATTTGTTTATCATTTGCTGGAAAGAGGTTTTTTTGTTCGTGTCATTGTTGTTTGCTTTTATTCAATTAAACTGGTTACGTGGTTATTGTTTGTATTTATGCGATTTGGGCAATTTTAACGGAGGGTCTAGCTGTAGCATTCCCAGGCTGTTGTTTTTATCATTTTATATTTGGGTGTTTTTAAGGTCAGATTGCCCTCCTGAGTTTCCCTGCCTGGACCCTGGCCCTGGTGGCAGCTGCCCCTTGCTCAGGGATGTGGAATGAGCACAGTAGACGCGGTCTCCAGCACAGTCCTCCAGCCCCTCCCCAGGAGAGTCCTCCAGCCCCTCCCCAGGAGAGTCCTCCAGCCCCTCCCCAGGAGAGTCCTCCACCCCCTCCCCAGGAGAGTCCTCCATCTCCTCCCCAGTACAGTCTTCCACCTCGTCCCAAGCACAGTCCTCCACCCCCTCCCCAGCACGGTCCCCCACTCCACTCTCCAGCACGGTCCCCCACTCCACTCTCCAGCACGGTCCCCCATTCCCTCCCCAGCACGGTCCCCCATTCCCTCCCCAGCACGGTCCCCCACTCCCTCCCCAGCACGGTCCCCCACTCCCTCCCCAGCACGGTCCCCCACTCCCTCCCCAGCACGGTCCCCCACTCCCTCCCCAGCACGGTCCCCCACTCCCTCCCCAGCACGGTCCCCCACTCCCTCCCCAGCACGGTCCGCCACTCCACTCTCCAGCACAGTCCCCCACTCCCTCCCCAGCACAGTCCCCCACTCCACTCTCCAGCACAGTCCCTCACCCGCTCACCAGCACAGTCCCTCACCCCCTCCCCAGCACAGTCCCCCACCCCCTCCCCAGCACAGTCCCCCACCCCCTCCCCAGCACAGTCCCCCACTCCACTCTCCAGCACAGTCCCCCACTCCACTCTCCAGCACAGTCCCCCACTCCACTCTCCAGCACAGTCCCCCACTCCACTCTCCAGCACAGTCCCCCACTCCACTCTCCAGCACAGTCCCCCAACCCCTCCCCAGCACAGTCCCCCAACCCCTCCCCAGCACAGTCCCCCAACCCCTCCCCAGCACAGTCCCCCAACCCCTCCCCAGCACAGTCCCCCACTCCACTCTCCAGCACAGTCCCCCACTCCCTCCCCAGCACAGTCCCCCACTCCCTCCCCAGCACAGTCCCCCACCCCTTCCCCAGCACAGTCCCCCACCCCTTCCCCAGCACAGTCCCCCACCCCTTCCCCAGCACAGTCCCCCACCCCTTCCCCAGCACAGTCCCCCACCCCTTCCCCAGCACAGTCCCCCACTCCACTCTCCAGCACAGTCCCCCACTCCACTCTCCAGCACAGTCCCCCACTCCACTCTCCAGCACAGTCCTCCACCCCCTCCTCAGCACAGTCCCCCACTCCACTCCCCAGCACAGTCCTCCGCCCCCTCCCCAGCATTGTCCTCCACCCTGCCCCCAGCGCTGGAATTTGCACACAGACTTCCAGAAGTGGCGGTCACCTGCACCTGACGAAGACCAGCTTAGTTTCCGCTGCTGCTGGAGCATATACATGTGCATACTGAATTTGTTCCCTCTGCCTTTTTTTGGGTGGGCGGGGGAGAGGGTGGGTGTGATCTGCCTTGGACTTTGGGAGACAGTACCACACCCGTCCTGAGAGCTGCTCTTAGTACAGAAATGTGGTTTTAAAAGCTGTTTGGGGATGGAGTATCCTGGGAGGAGGTTTTTCTGTTATAATTCGCAAAATGTTTTTAAATTCATGAAGACTTGTAGTTCACAGAATGTTTCCCAGGATGCCTTGTGATTTTCACGGCTGCTCCTGTTCCCGCGGCCCTGACGCTGTTGTGTGTTGAGTGGAAGTTAGTTCCCTCACAGAAGTGGCGGCCTGAACACTCACAGGGACTCTGGGTGCAGAGGAAAGGAAGGAAATCACTTCTCTTATTTCACAGATAAACTGACTTACCTTAGTTCACTTTCTCCGCGTCACCACTCAGCATGTTCAGGGCCAGGAACAGAGTTCGGTCCCCGACCCCTGGCCTCTAGCCGGGAGTAGGGAGTGATTTACCCCCTTAGGACGTTTACCAGTGTTTGGAGGCATTTTTTGATTGTGCCATTATTGAAAGGATTGCCCCTGGAATGTACTGGGGAGAGGCCAGTGATGCTACCGCACATCCTACGATGGACAGGACCACACCCCACAAAGAATGGTCCAGACCCAAATGTTGGTAGAAACAAGGCCGAGGGACCCTGCACTAAACCAAGCGCACACTGTGTTTGGTTTGAATGTTGTTAGCTGGGGAGGGGTGGGGAGTGAGGCCGAGGGGAGTGTGAGGGCCTAATCTTGGATGCAGTCCCTGGCCCACTTTAATCTCTCTTGATGTAAGGGTTGTGTTTTTGTGGCGATTGTCGGGTGTCTGATTTTTATTGGTCACTGTGTGCTGTAGTCGCCCGTCTGTTTCCTGGTGGGATTCAGATGTCCTCAGACCTGTGCCTGCTGTCTGTGTGGTATGTACCAGAATTAAGGAGTTGGTATGGAACACACTGGGAGGCCTACCCCAGAGGCCCTGGGCTTTCTCTGATGTTTGTTTGTTTTTGAGACAGAGTCTTGCCCTGTGTCGCCCAGGCTGGAGTGCAGTGGTGTGATCTCAGCTCACTGCAACCTCCACCTCCCAGGTTCAAGCGATTCTCCTGCCTCAGCCTCCTGAGTAGCTGGGATTACGTGCCTGGCTAATTTTTGTATTTTTGGTAGAGACGGGGTTTCAACATGTTGGCCAGGCTGGTCTTGAACTGCTGACCTCAAGTGATTCACCTGCCTTGGCCTCCCAAAGTGCTGGGATTACAGGTGTGAGGCACCTCACCTGGCTCAGAGGCCCTGGGCTTTCTTGGGAGGTAAAACCCATATGTTCTCTCTGTCTCAGCTGGGAGGGCTGGGGCTCTGAGGCCCATCCATGTGACTCCATGGCCGCAGGTGCTGTCTGGACGAGGTCTGGACAACCTTGTCTGGCGGGGACAGCGCCTCTTCCTGCCCCTGCCCTCGGTGGGGAAGGAGGGGTTCTGACTCTGAGATCTCATTTCCTTTAGGGAAATTCACGGAATTTCTGCAATTCTTCTGCTGAGATGTGGCCAAAATAAATCCTTGTGTGCAAATGGTGTTTTGGGGGAATTCTAATTTTTATGATAACTTTTATAGTAAGTGGCACCTTCGAAGCTGTCTAGGAGCAGAGCTGAATGGACTGTTTATGAATTTTGGCACAAAGAATGATCAGGCTTTTGGAATTATCTTACTGAGGAAGATAGGAGCAGCCTGGGGATCAGCTCATTTGAGCCCAAATTTCCTCTCTGGCACCCTCCCCACCTGCCCCAGAAGGTGGGAAATCCTAGTGAACGGGTCCATTTCTTCACCTTCCTCCAGTGTAGCCCAGGCACCTACCTCTGGGCGTCTTGGGAACATAAATTCTCATGGACCCTCAGACCGCCAGGACTTTGTATGAGTGGTGGGTTCTATAACCAGCTGTAGCAATAAATGTTGAATCCATTTATGGTATCATCATTTTGCTGTTACAGATATAAAAATCCTGTATCTTTCATTCTTTTTTTTTTTTTTTTTTTTTTACATTATACTTTAAGTTCTAGGGTACATGTGCACAACGTGCAGGTTTGTTACCTATGTATACATGTGCCATGTTGGTTTGCTGCACCCATTAACTCGTCATTTACATTAGGTATATCTCCTAATGCTATCCCTCCCCCCTCCCCCCACCCCACAACAGGCCCCGGTGTGTGATGTTCCCCTTCCTGTGTCCATGTGTTCTCATTGTTCAATTCCCACCTATGAGTGAGAACATGTGGTGTTTGGTTTTTTGTCCTTGCGATAGTTTGCTGAGAATAATGGTTTCCAGCTTCATCCATGTCCCTACAAAGGACATGAACTCATCCTTTTTTAATGGCTGCATGGTATTCCATGGTGTATATGTGCCACATTTTCTTAATCCAGTCTATCACTGATGGGCATTTGGGGTGGTTCCAAGTCTTTAATTCTAAGATAGAAAACACACTAAAATCTGTGAGTGTTTTCCTAACTGGGCAGCAAAGCCCCGGCTGACCTGGAGCGCGTTGCCTGGGGGTGATCCCGTCACCCAGCCGAGGTGACGGCTCCCACCTCTCTTTGCAGGGGTGGGTTTGATGCCGTGCACTCCCAAGGGCCCAGAGTATGGGTGCAGTAACACTCACTGCTTTTTAAAACATTTTTTATTTTTAATTATTATGGATACATAATAGTTGTACCTATTTATGGGGTACATGTGATTTTTTTAAAATTTATTTTATTGAAGTAAAATATGCATATATCATTTACCATCTTTACTATTTGTGGGCATAGAGTTCAGAAATATAGTCTTCTTCCCTTTTATCCTTGCTTTTCCCCACCCCTCCCCTTCCATACCTCTGATAATTGCAGTTCTCGTCTCTATGAGATCAACTCTGTTAGCTCCCACGTATGAGTGAGAACAGGCAATGTTTCTCTTTTTATGCCTGGCTTATTTCTTATTTCTTTTTCCATACAGAGTTTTGCTCTGTTGCCCAGGCTGGAGTGCAATGGCCCAGTCTTCGCTCACTGCAACCTCTGCCTCCCGGGTTCAAGCGATTCTCCTGCCTCAGCCTCCTGAGTAGCTGGGATTACAGGCACCCACCACCACGCCTGGCTAAATTTTTTTATTTTTAGTAGAGATGGGGTTTCACCATGTTGGCCAGGCTGGTCTCAAACTCCTGACCTCAGGTGATCCTGCCCTCCTGGGCCTCCCAAAGTGCCGGGATTACAAGCATGAACCACCACGCCCATATGCCTGGCTTATTTCACTTAACAGTAAAGCACTTTCATCCCCATTGCCACAAATGATGGGGTTTTCTCCTTTATGGGTGAACGGTGTTGTGTTGTGGGCGTGCACCACGTTTTCTTTGTCCATTTATCCGCTGACGGGCGCTGATTCCACACTGGGCTGTTGTGATGGGGAGTGAATGTAGGAGTGCGGAGGTCTCTTTCTGCCGATTCCCTTTCTCGGGGTATATGCCCAGCAGTGGGGCTGCTGGCTTGTGGGGGAGTTCTATGCATGTCATAGTCTCATACAAGCATGCAATGCATCATGATAAAATCAGGGTAAGTAGCATATCCATCACCTCAAGAACAATCATCTCTTTGTGTTAGGAACACTCCAATTTTACTCTTTTAGTTATTTTGAAATATTATTTTGAATATATATTATGTATATATTATTATACATTATGTATAATATGAATTATATATGTATTATACATATCGTATACAATGTTATACATTATGTATAACATTATTATATATTATTAAACATTATTATACATTATTAACTGTAGTCGCTCCATAGTATCACTCATCCCTGGATTTTATTCCTTCTATCTCAAACTGTTTTTTACCCATTAACCATCCTTCTTTACACCCCTGCTTCCTTCTACTTTTCCCAGCCTCTGGTAACCATCATTCTGTTCTCTGTCTCCACGAGATCAATCCTAACTCTGTCTTCATGAGATCAATTTTTTATTTAAGCTTAAATGTATGAGTAAGAGATTGCAGTATTTGTCTTTCTGTGCCTGGCTTATTTCACCTAATTTCTGCCTGTTCCATCCATGTTGCTCAGAATGACAGGATTCATTCTTTTTTATTGGCTGAATAATATTCCATTGTGTATCAAGATGTGGAATCAGTCTAAGTGGCCATCAGTGGGTGCGTGGATAAAATGTGGCGTATATACGCAATGGAATATTTTTAAGCCATTAGAAAACCTGCTTTTTAAAATCCCAAGTCTTCTGAGTCCTGGCCTGCCTCTCAGACCTGGGTTTTGGGTGAGCCATCGTGGGCCTGCAGGACGTACTGCAGTGACTGTGGATGCATAAATCAACCTTTCATTTCTGTGTGCTCATCTGTGCAGTAGAAATGGTGTTTGCCCTCCTGTCTCCCTGGTAGAAAGGACTTGGAAAAGTCTGAGACTAACGGGGCAGAGGAGCTGTTTGACTGCTTTTCAGGGATGAGACGCGCATGCCTTTGACTCCATGGGTGTGTGGCCAGGTAGGGAAACGGGGTCTGCACCTGAACACATCTATTCACAGATGGCTCTGCACTGAAGAGGCTCAGCCCCCTCCCCGGCCTGGTCTCTGCGTCATACCCACAGGCTGGGCTTCTCTCTGAGTGTCAGGGCGATGGCATCTGGGGTGGGCAATTCTTGGTGGGCGGTCCTTTGACTCTCAGGATGCGGAGCAGCACCCCTGTGTCCACCTACCCCATAGTCATGACAGTCAAAGATGTCCTTACAGTATCTCCAACATCGGCGAACGTCCTATGGGGGGAAAATCACTCTTTTGGGGGACCGCTGTTCTAGACCTATTTGGGCTCAAATTGAGGGGATATTATGTTTTATTTTTTTAAGGATGACTCAGTAATTTATCCAACAGATTTTTTTCACCTATACTCTAGTTTCTAACCTAGAGCTCTCTGGGTTACCAACAGACCAGGACAGTTAAACAGGTTACTATTAATTAAAGGGGTTTGTTTTTTCCTTCAGTAGTGCATGTGTGAAGAAAGTATTAACCTGGGAACAGTGGCGTTTCTGCTGAAAGCCTGGCCTTCATCGAGGGACCTCTGCTGTCTGGCCGCTGCTTGAGCTCCTATAAACCTGGGCCAAGCCTACGTGTGAAGCATGCCAAGCCTTGGGCTGCATTCCAGGGAGACTCGGGGAGGGTTTGCCAGTTAACCCATTCCTTTCTACCTGGTGAACCAATTGTTGCTTCTTTCTTTTTTCTCTTAAGCTAAGGTTTTTCCTTAGAAGCCTACAAATGGCTTTAGCTTCTTGGAGATGATGATACTAAGTATATCAGATGCTTTGACCCAAAGGCCATGCCCAGGGTAAACTACCCTGGCTCTGGTGGGTCCAAACCAAGCTGGGGCGAGTCAGTTGGTTAATCCAGGGCTGCCACTGTGTCTGCAGGAAACAGTCGGCTCCTTGCATTTGGTTTCATTCATGAATTTCATATCCTGTTGTTGAATATTCTTCTGCAGATTTCAGAAATTGTTCATATTATTATAGCTCTTCAAATATGACTCACTTAAGATTCTTGCCGAGCACCGTGGCTCATACTTGTAGTCCCAGTACTTTGGGAGGCTGAGGCGGATGGATCCTTTGAGGTCAGGAGTTAAAGACCAGCGCGGCCAACATGACGAAACTCCGTCTCTACTAAGAACACAACAGGTAGCTGGGCGTGGTGTAATCCTTGGAAGGCTGAGGCTTGAACTCAGGAGGTGGAGGTTGCAGTGAACCTAGATTGCGCCACTGCATTCCAGCCTGGGTGACAGAGCGAGACTGTGTCAAAAAAGAAAAAGAAAAAAGTCTTTTATCTTAATTTTTTGTTTGTTTTAAAGTTTGGTTCTGCTCTAGACAGCTGTTTGTAAACAATATCAGAGCTGTCTTTGTCATAGTCCACACCCTAAAGAAAGGCTAGGAATAATTCTGATCATTTTATCGCTAGTTTTTTCCATGATTAAAAATAACACATTCAAAAGGTGTCAGATAAGTGATGCCTTTTTATGTTGAAAGGATAAAGGGTGTTGGTACAGCATCAGCATCCAGCCTCTGGTCTTCCCAGATGTGCTGCCATGGAGCCTGTGCCACCTGACCCCCGCCACCGGCCCCCAAGCTTAGCTCAGGTGCCCGAGGGTCTCCATCTCCCCATGGCCCCCGGTCAGCAGCCCTGTCCCTGCACCCAGACTGGCCAACCCTTCTGAGCTTGAAATATCAGCATGTGATCTTAGCTTCCCTTGTTTCAGCCCTGAGCATTACAGCTTGACTTACTATACCAATAAACAAACCATTAACTTATCAATGAATTGATTGGCATCATGCTTCCCTTCTTTAGTTGGTCTCGTGGAGGTAGAGAGGAGGATGTAGATAGCAGAGGCTGGGAAGGGGGTGTGGACAGGAGGGGATGCAGAGAGGTGGATGGGTGCAAACATATGCTTAGATAGGAGTAGGTTCCAGTGTTGATAGCGGAGTAGGCTGGCTGTGTTAGCAACAGCGTATTATATTAATGTATTTCAGAGCAGCTGGGGGAGAGGACTGGAAATGTTCTGAATGGGTTGAAGTTAAAAATACCCAGGGTGACAGACACCCCAGTACCCTAATTTGGTCATTACAGGTTCTGTGCATGCAACAGATACTCACATGTACCCCACAAATATGTAAAATTATATGTGTCAATAAAATTGAAAAAATATGGGGGAAAAAAACCTTTCCCTTCCTGATAGAAACCCTTCATTCTTCATTAGCCATAGGAAATATTTCTTTTGGGTTAAAATGAAGCTCCTGCTTTTACAATTTTTAAAGTGAGAAATCTCACACTTGTGACCCAAAATAAACACCTTTTCCCCAGAAGTGCTGGTGCTCCCCTGTCTGAGGAAAGGGGTGTGGGGGACCTCTCCTAATCTGGAGGATGCCTGAGCTGCTGGGATGTGTAGATGGGGGTGGCCACGGAAGCCTGAGCTCCTGGGATGTGTGGATGGGGGTAGGGGGGTGGCCATGGAAGCCTGAGCTCCTGCTCCTGGGATGTGTGGAAGGGGGTGGCCACAGAAGCCTGAACTCCTGGGATGTGTGGATGGGGGTGACCACGGAAGCCTGAGCTCCCGCTCCTGGGATGTGTGGAAGGGGCTGGCCGTGGAAACTAGTTGGCAAGACAAAGAGCAGGTGACAGCATTGGCCCTGACTTCTGGGACTGTGTCTGATTTTTTTTTTTTTAAATCTCTGTCTCACCCCTCCCATCCCTGACTGTCACCCCCACCTTCCCCCAACAGTGTTGAAAGACCAAGCAAGGTTGTCCACATCCCGTTCAGTCACATCTCTTTGATGTTTTAAACATAACTATTTCTGCCCATTAACTTCCTTGAAGTGAAAACTACTCAACCACTCCACTTCTGTCTAAAAATAAGTGATGCTTGAGCACAGCACTGTGCAGTTTCTTACGTGTAGCTGTTCCCGACCTGACTCTACAGGGTCTTTACCAGAGCCCATGCCTTCCACTAACACGCGTGCGTGCTCACCGAGCTGGCTGACTCCTAGAAGACCAGTTGAGGTGGCCTGGTTCTGCTCTGCACTCCCTGCCTATCGTTGGAACATTGTCCAACAAAATTGACACATCCAGGGTGACGATAACCACAGGAACAAGCATTATCTTTTTTTTTTTTTTTTTTTTTTTGAGACAGAGTCTTGCTCTGTCACCCAGGCTGGAGTGCAGTGGCGCAATCTCAGCTCACTGCAAGCTCCGCCTCCCAGGTTCACGCCATTCTCCCGCCTCAGCCTCCCGAGCAGCTGGGACTACAGGCTCCCGCCACCACACCCGGCTAATTTTTTGTATTTTTAGTAGAGGTGGGGTTTCACCGTGTTAGCCAGGATGGTCTCCATCTCCTGACCTTGTGATCCGCCCGCCTTGGCCTCCCAAAGTGCTGGGATTACAGGCGTGAGCCACCGCATCTGTCGTAGCATTATCTTTTATTACATGTTTATATGCCAGCCAGGTCCCATGCTGAATTCTTCATGTATGATCTGCCTTCATCCCACCACCATTTACACCATTGCCTGTGGCTTCAGACAATCTAGTTTCAGTGAACATTTCAAACTGCAGAAGAGCACCATCTCCCTTCACCACCACCTCCCCACCACTGTGGTCAGCTGAATGAGCCTCAAGGTGGGGTTTGCTGTAAGGTCACTGCCAGGCCAGTGCTTGGGACCCTCTCTCTACAGGGGAGGAAGGGCGACCGGCCTCGCTCCTGCTGGGGCTGTTGGTTGTACAACTTACCGGAATTGTGCACTCTTAGCTTTGGCTTAAAGAAATCTGTGATGCCAGAGGGCTAAATACATCATGCTGTTGCATTATTGGTCTTCCAAAGAAGCAAGTGCAGGACCACATGATGGTGTGTCGTGTGCTAACCTATTTTAGAATTTTACAGTTGACTGAGTCTCCCAAGAAGAAATCCTGAGGCTGCTCTATAGAAATTTTCTATCAAGTAATGAAATCAGTGAGGGTGCTTTGCTGGGGTGATTGGTAGGGTCTCTGGACAAGAGCGTTCCTTCAGAGTGTTGGTGGGGAGGTGAGCAGGGCTTGGGATGTGTGTTGGTGTGGGGCTGTTTAATCTCAGGCTCTGCCTCTGAATTTCCTAGAGACAGGATAAAGCCACGATTCCTGGCCTTTGAAAACCATTGACATAGTGAAATTCCTGCCGCCTCTCTTTCTCGCACACCTAGTTTGGAACGCTGGTGTTTCCCAAGTCTAAGCCTAGAGAGCCGTTCAGAGCTGACCTCTGCATGCATGCTCTGAATTCTAAAAGTGAAATGCTTTAATTTATTAAGGAATGTTGTAGCTTTAGGTTCTGTGGGGGAGGGAAAAGGATTAAACTAGGGAAAGCTTGATTCTGTAGGAAACAAAAAAAATAGTATTTACTCAGAAGCAGCAAAGCCCCTACATCTCTGGATGCAGTAACTATGTCTGCAGGAAGCTGGTGATAACACTATCTGGAAGGCACTTTTAAAGTCTGTTATCTCTAGGAGCTTGTTTTATTCTGGTAGTTGGAATGTTCACCATTTGGAGTTAGTTGAGTGAAGAATTCAGGAAATCAGATTGGAAAAAAGCATTATCCAGTTGAGAAGACACATGGACCCATGCAACAAGCATTCTGAAAGAAAAAGCCTACTGCTGCAACACAACGGTATAATTTCCCTTTGTCTGTAACTTTAAAAAAAAAAACTTACATATGAGACGTCCGAGAAAGCCACCCATAGGTGAACTACGCGCATAGGTGAACTAGCTTACTCCATTTATGATGGATTCGGCGATTGCCTAAAAATTCTAGTCAAAACCACCTCTACATATAGAATGATCTCCTACATGGTTAGAAGGCTGGTTATTTTGACACAGCTCAAAACAATTTCGAATAAGTTGAAATGACTTCAGAGCCTGTGGCATGTTCTTAGATGTGATCGAATGACTCAACGTAAAAAATTCTGTCCGACGATGGATCCGATACAGCCAACGAGGAGCTCTAAGGTTCATCTTGTGAGTCAGAGTCAACAAGACAGAGAATGTTACTTTGGCCAAAAAACTGAGATAAGGTTAAAGGTTTTATGCTCTGTTTTTCCTATGTGAGTCATAAAACTGGCTTGGAAGGCAAATTCCAAAAGGGTGTTTTAGGAAACGTCTGGGCTTTGGCTGTAGTAAGATAAATATTCAGCCTTCTAAGAAGACTTCAAAAGAGAAAACTCATCTGAATTTCTACGTTGTAGTACGTTTGGGCAAAATGAGTCTTCCTAATTTAGTAATATCTTCCTTGTTGGTGAAAGACGGCTTAGAACTGCGGCTGGTAGTTGCTTTTCACATGTTCCATGGGCGTCGTGACTTTGCAAATTAAAGAATGAGTCATTTCCTAGCAACTTAGCTCACGCATGCACTAGACAGGGAGCATTGGAGGTGGCACTCAGAAAGCCCTCCCTTTCTATTTTTTAATGGCTTTCTTTGCCACATGCATCTATGCAACACAAAATAATGAAATTACTTTCAGAGAACATTTTACTTTTCAAAATGTTGTGGTTTGCAGAGCAGTTTTCTTACTACTCCAGAAGCAAGAGGATTCGTTAACATGTTTGATTAAATCCGTATTTAAATTCTGTGAACTCATGCAGGGAAAGGAAATTGTATGGTTCCCACTATGGCATATTAACTAGTAAAATGCTGGGTGGCGGTTGACTTGGAAGCAGCGTCCGGGATAGCGCGTGCTCCAGGAATACTCTGAAAGCTGATGCCGTTAGGGGTGCATGGTTGACTCCTGGGCCTGAGACGGCCTCAGGATGCTGCAGCGGCCTTGGCATCCTCTTCAGCAGGGTGGCGGCCGGAACTGGCACCTTCCCCCCGGTCTCTTTATTTACCAAAAAACTGCATGCACAGAAATGACCGCAACAGCTCTGGGTGTGGGAATGTAGGAACTGTCTGTTTCAGTTTTGCCGGAGCCCCAGGTTTACGGCCGCTCTACATCCCAGTCCTCTCAGGGAGGTCCCGGTTTCTGCTGCAGTTCAGGCCCCATCATGGGTCATCTTTTCTCTCCTCCTGAGATGTGGGCTTGGAGGATGGGAGGTCGTGCCTCTAAGAAGGGTCCGTTTCACGGTGGCCCAGGCTACATGCCTGCTTCCTTGTTTCCTTGCCCCCCCGAGCTTCATGGAAGTCAATCTGGAAAGTCAGGATCACTGCAGATGGCAGTTTGTTCAGTGTTGCTCCCAGACCTGAAGAATGGAGCGCTCTGTTGTGCTTGCAGAATGAAGCATAATTCTTAGCAGAAACCTGGGAGGCCGGGTGCGGCGGCTCATGCCTGTAATCCCAGCACTTTGGGAGTCCGAGGCGGGCGGATCACGAGGTCAGGAGATCGAGACCATCCTGGCTAACACGGTGAAACCCCGTCTCTACTAAAAATACAAAAAATTAGCCGGGCGTGGTGGCGGGTGCCTGTAGTCCCAGCTACTAAGGAGGCTGAGGTGGGAGAATGGCAGGAACCCGGGAGGCGGAGCTTGCAATGAGCCAAGATCACGCCACTGCACTCCAGCCTGGGTGACACAGCGAGACTCCGTCTCAAAAAAACAAAAAACAAAAAAACCTGGGAGTTTGGGGTGGTAGAGATCACTGAAACTGCAACCCCAAGGCTAGGTTATCTCTTTATTTATGTATCCACCCACCCGCCTACCTACCTATTGTACTTACAATATTCTGAGGATTATGGCCTCCAAGAGTCATTCATGGCTTTGCACATGACCGTCTGTTACCAGTGAGTCCTTGTGTGGACAGAGCATCCGCAGCAGGACAGAACATAAACGGTGCCTCCCAGGGTGCCCTGTGCAGAGGCGAGGTCTGCATCCGACCTCACACTTGCTCACCCTCGCCCTCCGGGGGACGGCTACACTGGGCTCATCTGCACTGCAAGGGAAATCTGTTTTCAGAGCAAGGGGAGACAATAATAATAATAATAATCCCTAGAGTGAGACTGGGCTGTGTTTAGAAGATGTTCTGCTGTTTTGCCATGGAGGTAGGGGGCCTGGTGATGGGCAGTCCCTGTACCAGCCTGTGAGCCAGGGCCTGGGTGCCTGGGGGGTCTCGGGAGGTGCAGACGGGGCTGCCAGCGCTGAAATGAACCAGCTCTGTTTTGGGTTCTGTTCCATTCCAGACTGTTTTCTCCTTTCTTGTTTATTACATGTATGACACTAAATTATAAACACACATGTGGCCAGGCATGGTGGCTCACGCCTGTAATCCCAGCACTTTGGGAGGCCCAGGCAGGCAGATCACTTGAGGTCAAGAGTTGGAAACCAGCCTGGCCAACATGGTGAAACCCTGTCACTACTTTAAAACAAAAACAAAATTAGCCAGATGTGGTAGTGTGTTCCTGTAATCCCAAGTACTCTGGAGGCTGAGGCAGGAGAATTGCTTGAACCTGGGAGATGTAAGTTGCAGTGAGCCGAGATCGTGCCACTGCACTCCAGCCTGGGCAACAGAGCAAGACTCTGTCTCAAAAATAAAATAAAATAAACACACATATATATATAATATTTCTGGTAGAAATTTATAAATATAAGTATACAAATTGGCCAGCTATCAAGGTGCCTGCACTATTGATTAATTTATATATAGAACTCCATAATCTATGAGTCATTTCAATTTTAAAAACCTTTCTTTTTTCTGTCCTCCGGACCTTCACTAAGGTGGGCTTATGGATCCAACAATAATCTATCATGAACTTTTCTAAATCCTTAATAGTTATTCCTTCTTAAGATTAAATGCTGTGGAAAGTGAGTTATGTAGATGAAGTTACCCGTGGGCATTGCTGCATTTCCTGATCTTGTATATTCCGTGGAGAAAAAGATGGGGATGCATTTAGCATTGAAAGGTAATTGTTGGCCAGGCGCGGTGGCTCACGCCTGTAATTCCAGCACTTTGGGAGGCTGAGGCAGGCGGATCATGAGGTCAGGAGTTTGAGACCAGCATGGCCAACAAGGTGAAGCCCCGTCTCTACTAAAAGCTACAAAAATTAGCCAGGTGCAGTGGCAGGCACCTGTAATCCCAGCTGCTCAGGAGGCTGAGGCAGGAGAATCACTTCAACCCGGGAGGCAGGTTGCAGTGAGCCGAGATCGCGCCACTGCACTCCAGCCTGGGTGACAGAGTGAGACTCCGTCTCAAAAAAAAAAAAAAAAAAGGTAATTGTCCTTGGGCTTCTTCTATCAATGTGTCCTCACATATTGATATCTGATTCCCTAATGCAGCACCGTGTCATTAATGGAGGGTAAGGCAGACAATTATTATTCAGCTGTGCTGTTTAATAATATTCAACATACATCCCAAGTGGCGCAGGGTGCCTTGGCAGGCGGAGCCCCTGACAAAATGCTCCCATGTATGTCCCGTGCTCGACAGTGCTGTGTGCCTGTGAGTTTGTGCTGAAGTATGATAAACACGTTGGGTGAAAGTGACCCCTTTCAACCTCTAGCGAAACACGACCCTTTCAACCTCTCGGGAAACGCTGGGCCATAGGAGAATGGCTTGATTCCTCATTGCACTGTGAGGCTGAGTCTAGGCAGACGTTCCCATTACTAGGGACTCAAGGTGAGGACTTTCCCACAATTCACTGCTTTTATCCAGTGCTGGAACTGCCCTGTCTTCTGACCAGTGGATGCTGAGGAACTGACATTCACTGTCATTTTTCCCGTTTTATATAATTTAAGGATCACTTCCCATTTAGTGAAGTTTATCTCATTTTTAAAAGATTCTCCCTTTCTCCCCTAGGGCTACCAGGGCATGGTGGACGGAGGCTCAAACATCGCAGAGGCCGACTGGGAGAGTGTCTCCAGCATCCTGCAAGTGGTAGGTACTGGGCTGCGTCCACAGGGTTCTCTGAGTTAGAGACTCTTTTATGTCTAGTAAATTCCCAGAACACTTGAGCTCAGATCAGTTGCGAAATAGAGATTATGTGGACAGAACAGACTTTGTGAGCAGCTCTTTACTTGTGGTTTGATTTTTAGAAATGCATGTGTTAATCTGTGAGTCACTTTGAGTACTTGTTAATAGAAATAATCCAAATCGGTGCCTCCCCGCTGAAGACGCTCATGGGGCCCACACCTTCGTGCTGGTCCAGGCTCTCTCTGCATTGGGCGCCTCCTGAGCTCCGACACATCAGAAGAGAGGTGGAGGGAATTTTGACAACCACGGAAGTTAGGTGGAGCAACGTTTGCAAAACATCAGGAGAGTGTGGGCTGAATTCACACAGGGGAGCGTTTCCATTCTGCGGTCGTGATTGACGGAGGAAGATAAGATGTGAACGGAGAGTTGAAGTGCGTATGTGTATCAGTGAGTCTGTGTTTCTGTGTGTGGTGTATGTGGTGTGTGAATCTCGGTGTGTGTGTAACTGTGTGAGTCTGGTGTGTGTCTGTATGTAGGTGTGTGAGTCTGAGTGTGTATGTGTGGTGTGCCCGTGTGTATGTGTTAACTGTGTGAATTTCTGGCTAGCGAATGTGTATCTGTGTGTGGGGTGTGTGTATATGTGGTGTCCTTGTATGTGTAGGTGTGTGGTGTGTGTGTGTGTGTGTGTGTGTGTGTGAAAGAGAGTGAGTGAGAGAATGGGAATGGCACCCACTCCTCTGCAGCCCAGTTATCCTGGTTTCGTTCCTGAGTTGCGGCCACCTCGTCTCTTTGGTTGGAGTTTCTGGGTTGCTGGCTCTAGCTCCCATTGTGCTGGCTCTCGTGCTGCCCCCCAGGTTTTTGTCCAGGCAGAGTCCAGAGAGCACCCCTGCCCTGCTCTGCGCCCCCACCCTCACTTGCCTTGGGGGTTGGGTTGTAAATGGTCTCGGTCACACTTGGTGCCAGTGACGTAGGATCGTGTGGAGTGAATTTCAGTTTTTGTAACCTTTTCATAATGTTTTGATAAATTAAATGGTGGTAGGTTTCATGTAAAAATAGGAGCTTTTCTGGGATTTGGAATATTAGTGAGTCTCTGTGTGTGAAAATGAGCTGTGTGCGTGCACCATTGGTGTATCGAAACACGCACTCACGTCACTGCAGGGGTCTCCTGGGAGCTGCCTGCAGACCGAAGGCAGGGAGAGCTTCGCCTCCAGTGCAGAGACAACCCCTGCTGTGCTTATGAGCACCTTGCTTGACAAAGTCAGCACGCGCTTAGGGATCCCGTACGGATGGAGTTTTTTGGTGCATTCATGGTTTTATTTAAAGAAATCTTGCATTTGTGGATCCCACCAACAATTCTTAGTTTTTGGAAAACCAAGTGTGACGAATCATGATCTATGTCCCCTGGAAGTTTGGATGAAAGAATTTAAGATCCTGAAGATATAGCTCTTTAAAAGGGGCAGCGAGTATGTGGTGCAAAAAAAAAAAAAAAAAAAATCCCCCTGGCCCCAGGTTCCTGCTGGTTTTACTTGCAGGTGCTGTAAGGGGTGACTGGAGGGAGAAGCCTGGCTGCTGGTCACACCGCTTCCCTTGTCCTGGCCGGCATGCTCTGGTGGTCAGTGGGCTTGTCTTTGGTTCCACGTGCACCTGGTTGAGCTCGTTGGCCGGTGCTGAGGCGGCTGCTGTGACACCGCAGGCTGGTTCCTGCTCCATGTATTTAACTGCTGGCTGCCGTGTGTCTGGCTCTGCACCCTCCCTGGCTCCTCCTGGGTGTCACGCGCCTGTCTTTGTCCATGGAATGCTGGTCTGGGACTAAAAACAGGAAAATCACAGTCTTTCATAGCTAGTTACTAACTCACAAGATGAAAATGAGAAAAATGTAAATTCTAGCACCCCATGTTTATAGTCGGCCTGTGTGTGCCATCCACCTGGCGCTCTCTCAGACTGAGAGGAGATAAATTAGCTGGTGTCTTTCCCAGGGCGGGACGATCATTGGCAGTGCGCGGTGCCAGGCCTTCCGCACGCGGGAAGGCCGCCTGAAGGCTGCTTGCAACCTGCTGCAGCGCGGCATCACCAACCTGTGTGTGATCGGCGGGGACGGGAGCCTCACCGGGGCCAACCTCTTCCGGAAGGAGTGGAGTGGGCTGCTGGAGGAGCTGGCCAGGAACGGTGAGTGGACACCTGCTCCTCTGTCCTGCGGGTTTTCGCCCTGTTTCAGAGCTTTGGAACCGACAGGTTTCCCTCTTCACTGTGGCAGAAGTACCTCTTCTCACAGATCTTACAGGTCACCATCTCAGGACTTTTTAGGATCTCAAAAAACAACAGCAATGATCGTAAGAATGCTAGTAATTTAACCTTACCATGTGCCAGGCACCCTTCGACCTTTCACACAGATAGCTTTATGGAATCCTCACGACAGCCATCTAAGCCAGGTTTTAGATCATCCCATTTACAGATGAGGAATCAAACGGCCACTCAGCCGTGGGGCGAGCCGGGTCCCCAGCAGCCTGGGACACTAGCATCCGCCTTTCAGCCCTCACACTGTGTCCCTCCAGCTCGCTGGGGTCCTTTAAAACTGAAGTTGGGCCGGGCGCGGTGGCTCACGCCTGTAATCCCAGCACTTTGGGAGGCCGAGGCGGGCGGATCACGAGGTCAGGAGATCGAGACCATCCCGGCTAAAACGGTGAAACCCCGTCTCTACTAAAAATACAAAAAATTAGCCGGGCGTAGTGGCGGGCGCCTGTAGTCCCAGCTACTTGGGAGGCTGAGGCAGGAGAATGGCGTGAACCCGGGAGGCGGAGCTTGCAGTGAGCCGAGGTCCCGCCACTGCACTCCAGCCTGGGCGACAGAGCGAGACTCTGTCTCAAAAAAAAAAAAAAAAAAAAAAACTGAAGTTGCCACAGGACTTTAATTTATTTAGACGATAAATCTCTGCCAATACATCATCCAGTACCAACTTTGGCACTACTTAGGAAAGCGTTTCTGAGAGCCCTGTGTGTATGTGGTTTATTTTTGTTTTGTTTGATTGTTTGATTTTGTTTGTTTTGAGACAGAGTCTTTCTCCATTGCCCAGGCTGGAGTGCAGTGGCACGATCTCGGCTCACTGCAACATCTGCCTCCTGGGTTCAAGCAATTCTCCTGCCTCAGCCTCCCAAGCAGCTGGGATTACAGGCATGCGCCACCACACCCAGCTTTTTTAAAATTTTTTTATTTATTTTTTATTTTTAGTAGAGATAGGGTTTCGCCATGTTGGCCAGGCTGGTCTCGAACTCCTGACCTCAGGTCATCCACCCGCTTCGGCCTCCCAAAGTGTAGTTTTTCTCCCTTGAAGCGGTTATGTAATTTCAGTGCAATATTAAATATGACCAGGGAAGCATATTGTTTAACAGCAACTCGATGAGAGGCGGCATTGAGGCAAAGCAGCTGTCCCCAGGTTTGTGAACATCCTCGTAGGGGATGGAGAAGGCTGCCCGTTGGAAGCAGCCAGGCCTCACGGTTCCCGCTTGTCCACCTCATCCCGTCTGGCACAGCACAGTGAGTGCACAGACCGGGACAGTGGCCACAAGTCCGGGCCCAAGCTTGCCCCTGGCCCTTCAGTGGTTCCGATTCCCTTTATGCAGAACTGCCCAGCCCAGGTCTGTCCTGAGTGCGAGGCAGATGCTCACCCACGATCCAGCTTCCCACAGATGCATGAGAAATCAGTGTGAAGATGGCCTAGTGTCTTAGATTCTTAATTCCGTAATTGTAACGTATCCTGTTCAAAGCCGTGTCATTCTCTGAAGCTGTTGCCAGGAAGTACTGAGATGTTTGTTTACCGATTGCAAATGTGGATC
This sequence comes from Homo sapiens, assembly GCF_000001405.40. Classification (NCBI taxonomy): domain Eukaryota; kingdom Metazoa; phylum Chordata; class Mammalia; order Primates; family Hominidae; genus Homo; species Homo sapiens. The sequence continues at coordinate 3,103,219 of NC_000010.11, forward strand.
CTTTCTTTTATTTTTCTAATCCACTGCTCTTGTCTAAGTGCCAGGTGACAGAGTCCATTGTGTGTAACTGCTGCCAGCTTTGTCTGGCTTCTCTTTCCTTAACTATGCAGAATCCGGTTGCCTTGAGTTCGGAGAAAATAAAGAATCGGCCAGGGCAGTGGCTCACACCTATAATCCCAGCACTTTGGAAGGCCAAGGCAGAAGGACCACTTGAGCCCAGGAATTTAAGACCCGCCTGGGCAACATAGAGTGTGGGTCTACAAAAAAAATTAAGAAATCAGCCAGGCATAGTTCTAGCTTCTCAGGAGACTGAGGCAGAAGGATCGCCTGAGCCCAGGAGTTCAAGGCTGCAGTGGGCTATGATGGTGCCACTGCACTCCAGCCTGGTCAACAGTGAGACCCTGTCTCAGAAAAATGATAATAAAGAAATGATACCAATAACAAAGAGTTTAGAATGGTTGATTTCTCTACCCATGGCCATTCTGCCTCACCCCTAGTGGGGCACCCCCCGAACGCGCCATGGTTACGGCGATGAGACGTGCTGTTTGCTCCCCGCGCAGGCCAGATCGATAAGGAGGCCGTGCAGAAGTACGCCTACCTCAACGTGGTGGGCATGGTGGGCTCCATCGACAATGATTTCTGCGGCACCGACATGACCATCGGCACGGACTCCGCCCTGCACAGGATCATCGAGGTCGTCGACGCCATCATGACCACGGCCCAGAGGTAAAGCGCTCAGAGGAACCGGCGGGAGGCCAGTGGGGCCCGACGTGTGCCCAGCTCAGACGTTACCACGGGCTCTAGAACATTCTGCAGATTGGGTGTCCTGGTGCTGGTCTCGTAACTTGACTTTTAGGAGCTATTGCCAGAACATTGTTCTCTGGTCTACTTTTCATTTTTAATTTTAAAACATTCCTTGTTTTTAACCTGATGATAGAAAACAGTTTATTAGAATTTGGAAGGAAGAAACAAAGTAATTATCCTCTAAATGTCCTACCCAAACATCTCCAGAAGGAGTGGCAAGCAGGAAACTGTTGTGTGGATTTTCCACACTACTCATTAGAAACGCAGCCAGCGATGTCCTGCCCTGTGTAACCTACGGATTCACGAAGTGTCGTGGGGGCCACAGCGTTTGATCCGAGGTGCTCTAGGCTCAGCAGGTTATCACTAAAGACTGTGGGGCGCACCGTACAATTTCTGAAGCAATTTGCATGAAAACCATGTGGAATGGTAAATAGAATAAGTGTCTCCCCTTTAAGGACGAGGTGCTCGAGACTGGGAGAGTGCCCGAATCCAGTCCCCAGCATGGCGCCTCCCAGTCCTCTGTGTGCGTGTCCTGTTCCCAGTGACGCCTCACTGGACATTCTCAGTGCGTGGGCGTGAACCCCACAGTTGGTGGAAAATCACCGAGTTGGAAGGCTGCTCGGAGCAGTTGGATTTTTCCATTCCCTGGGAAGACCCACAGTCTCTGGGCATTAAGCACTTAGTGAGTCTGGCACTCACTTGTTTCCGTGGGAGAGATCCAGCCGTGGCTGTCGACAGCAGCTGCCGACTGTGCCCAATAGAGAAGGTATCTGGGAAAGAGCCCAGCACGGGGCCGGGGAGTGTGAGTGTGTCCTGGCACAGGCAGGCAGAAGGTGTCCAACGTGCAACTGGAGAGCGCAGAGGTGGCTCAAGTCCCCTTCCTCGCAGGAGTCTGGAAGGCTACTGCATAGCGTTTGCCTTAGTAGAAAATGGACCATTTTTGAAGCCTAGGTCCCTGCAGGCCTCCTGGCTAACTCGGCTGTCAAAGCCCCTTTTCTCTGCTTTCTGAGCTGTTTCCAGGACTGAGTGGGTGCTCCCTCTGTTTCTCTGCTTTCTGAGCTGTGTCCGGGGCTCCCTCTGTTTCTCTTCCAGCCACCAGAGGACCTTCGTTCTGGAGGTGATGGGACGACACTGTGGGTACGTACCTGCGGTGGGTCCGGTGGACGCGGTTCAGGTGGGGGACCCTCAGCATCATCTCCCTGAGGCTGCACCCCACATCCTGAATGCTCCCGTGGAAAGTCCTGAAGGGGCCGGCATCCCGCTTCATACCTGGCGTTAGGTCTGCACGTCTGTCGCTGAGCGGGGTGCCTGGGCTGCCCTCGTGGGAAGGATCCTTCTGGGGTGTTGATGCTGTTGCCTTGTCCACATAGGTACCTGGCCCTGGTGAGTGCCTTGGCCTGCGGTGCGGACTGGGTGTTCCTTCCAGAATCTCCACCAGAGGAAGGCTGGGAGGAGCAGATGTGTGTCAAACTCTCGGAGGTAATGCGGGTCCCGTGGCCGTTGATAGCGGGCGATGCTGGCTGCATTGCTTTAATCAGGATCCCAAGTGGGACGGCATTTTAAGCAAGTGAAAAAATTTCTCTGTCTCCAGTTTGTCACACTTTGTATTTCACTCTATGGACTGTGAGCGTGGGGCATGTTTTCCTCTATGAAGGCTGAGACTCAAGGCAGAAGAGGTTTCATTTAAGACCTGAGGCTGAGACAGAGTGAGCCTGGTTAGAATGCCCCATGCGTGCCTAACTCCGGCAGGCAGACTTCAGGCACTGTTGGCTCCAGGCTCCACACAGCCACCCCTATCATTTTCTATGGGTGGGTCTTTAATTTGGGGCTTAATAGAAAGCGAGTCCATTGAGGATGAGTTAATCCACATCATGGAGTGGTCGCTATGTTCCTTTCATGACCTCTTTAGGCTCACGTGACTGCCGTGAGCATAGGAAGGACGACGGGGACAGCAGCCACGGTGGCCCAGCAGTGTGAGGCCTTTCGGGTGCAGCTGCAGCTGCCAGAAACCCACTGTCTGGGCCCTGTGTCCGCTCACGCCGTTTTCTCTCTCCCGACTCTCTGCTGCTGGAGCCTGTGTGCAATACAACCTCATCCCAGTGGCCAGGCTTCGGGGCCTCCCCTGGGAGGGCCGGGGAGGAGTGGTTCACAGGGAGATGGCAGGAAACTCTGGAGGGAGGCAGAAAGCATGGCGTGCACGGGGCGCCTGTGGGGCGTCCACCTGTGTGTCCTTCCCCATGGGAGGCAGAAAGCATGGCGTGCACGGGGCGCCTGTGGGGCGTCCACCTGTGTGTCCTTCCCCATGGGAGGCAGAAAGCATGGCGTGCACGGGGCGCCTGTGGGGCGTCCACCTGTGTGTCCTTCCCCATGGGAGGCAGAAAGCATGGCGTGCACGGGGCGCCTGTGGGGCGTCCACCTGTGTGTCCTTCCCCATGGGAACCCCTGTCAATCACACCAGCACCCTCCACCTGGGGCTGACTGGGGGCCACATTTCTATCTGCGGTGGTGATGTGAGCTCCCAGTCCCAAAGAGCTCTCTTCCAGTGAGCCACAGCCGCCCTGCTCCTTCACCCCTGCCCCTCTCCTCACCCCTGCCACTGCCCCTTCACCCCTGCCCCTCTCCTCACCCCTGCCCCTCTCCTCACCCCTGCCCCTGTCCTCACCCCTACCCCTGTCCTCACCCCTGCCCCTCTCCTCACCCCTGCCCCTGCCCCTTCACCCCTGCCCCTCTCCTCGCCCCTGCCCCTTCACCCCTGCCCCTCTCCTCGCCCCTGCCCCTTCACCCCTGCCCCTCTCCTCGCCCCTGCCCCTTCACCCCTGCCCCTCTCCTCGCCCCTGCCCTGCCCCTTCACCCCTGCCCCCTCCTCGCCCCTGCCCCTTCGCCCCTGCCCCTCTCCTCTCCCCTGCACTGCCCCTTCACCCCTGCCCCTCTCCTCACCCTGCCCCTGCCCCTTCACCCCTGCCCCTCTCCTCGCCCCTGCCCCTCCTCTCACCCCTGTCCCTCCCTGCTGTCACCCAGCACACCTTTCACCACCTTCTGATGTCATTGGGAAGCAGCTCTTAGGAAGTTAGGCAAAGATTCCTGCCCAGAAAGAGGCCAGTTCAGTTTGAGACAGACTTCTGTGGTTTTGTTGCATTTGTTGCTAAGAACAGGATTAGGAATTTGAGAGCTTTAATTTTCTGTCTCCACAGAACCGTGCCCGGAAAAAAAGGCTGAATATTATTATTGTGGCTGAAGGAGCAATTGATACCCAAAATAAACCCATCACCTCTGAGAAAATCAAAGAGGTGAGTGTGTGTAGCTGCTCACTTTCTCTCGGTTTCTGCCTGGAAGCAGGGGAGGCTAGCGTCATGGGCAGGCTTGGTTTAGAACATTGAATTATTAACTTTTTATCCTTGATATTTAAAACATTTTCATAATGACTCAGAAGTTGGACGGCAGGGGAAACACGCAGCTCCCGCTCCTGGGAGCCCATTCCGCTTACGTCACCTCTTGCCGAGCCCGTAGAGGTTCCGGGACTCCCCAGCAGACAGAGGGGGTCAGCTCGAGTGGCCACGCGTGTTCTTTGGATTAGAATGTTCCGGCTCTTAAACATGAGCTGCTCTGAGAATGAGGACTGACCACTTGGCAGCCGACCCGGGCTTCTGTTTGCCACAGTGGGAAAAGGCGGCGTCTTGCTATTCCCTGTGCCCTCCCATAACCCAGAGCATCAGCTGAGCACATTCTTACAAAGCCACTGTGTCCTCGTGGCCCTGCCTGGGAACAGGCTTTGGCAGGCTTTGGCAGGCTTCGTGCCCTGGGACTTGCTCAGGCCAGTGCCTGCCTGTCTGGAGAGGACTCTGATACCATGGGCTGTGCCCCTGCTGTAGACGGGGCTGCAGGCTGCCGGGGCTGGGGATGGGCTGTGGCTCCAGCAGCCACGGGGCAGAAGACGTCCCCACCTGGCTTTGCAAGTCGGCTTCTTTATTGTGCTTTGTTATGGTCAGTTAAGGAGCAAAGCATATCTCTGGATATGAAAACAGTGATGGACACCTGGGAAAGACATCTGCCAATATTTATAAGTGGTCATCCATAAAGTCCAGGCAAAGATTTTATTTCCCGCTTAACTGTAATTAAATTATAGGACAATGGACCGAGAAGGAACCAAGGAATTTACGTAGCCCAGCCCCACTGTCCTTACAGAGGAATAAGCTGAGTTCCAGAGACAGTCAGTGGCCTCTCCAGATCACCGGGCCGGTGTGCCCATGGGCTGGGGCGAGGGGAACGCCTTGATTGGGCTGGCTTGTGCTGTTCAAATCACAGCTGAACAAATTAAAGCTGGTTCAAGGAAGATGTTTACATTTTTTGTAAAATATAAGTAATAGTTTAAATGCAAGCTACTGAAACGTTACTTTTTTATTTTTCTTTTTTAAAGCAACGAACATATTACTTGTATTCATTTTCTAGGTGCGAGCCAAGATCTTGTCTGGTAACAACAGTATTATTTTTAAAACCAATTTTCAGCTGCCTGTTATATACACTAAACGTTCTGCTAGGAAACAAAATTTAGAAATAACTTTTCCCATTTAGATCTGAAGAAAGAGCGAAAAACCTTTTCCAGTGCCCAGTACCTCCTTCCAGATCTGGGCTGCTGTGTCCGCATCACAGTTCCGCATCCTAACGAGATGTTTCCTTGCAGCTTGTCGTCACGCAGCTGGGCTATGACACACGTGTGACCATCCTCGGGCACGTGCAGAGAGGAGGGACCCCTTCGGCATTCGACAGGATCTTGGTGAGTTGGGAAGGGTTGGGCATCTTCACAAGGTCTCTAGGAGGAAGCGTTTCTGGAGAGGCACAGGCACCAGCCGGCCACAGAGGCTGGCAAGGTGCTCCCCGAGAGATGCCCGCGGCCCGGCCCTCATCTTAACGATCCTTGAGACCTTTGGTGTAGACCAGTCTCTAGGCCTGCAGCCATTCAGATGCGGGGAGAGCTCCCTAATGTGGGAAGGCAGTGCTTGGTGTTGGCACGACGTGGACCCCAGAGGGCACAATCCCAGGGCAGAAAGGCTGTGTTTCTAGTGAGTTTCTGGAAACTGACTCAGGGCAGCAGGAATCCCAAGTACAAACCCTCAGTTCTTAACACTCCTGCTCTCCATGTGCCCTGACCTCCTCTCTGTTCCCGTCTTGCCAGTTCTAAAGGAGTGGAAATCGCTTTGCTCTAAAGAGTTGGGCTGGAAGCGGGAGGGGCTGTGAGCACCTGACTGAGGTCATTGGACGTCATGGAAAGATAGGAGGTGACAGGGACAGGGCAGGACGGGAGGCTGCCCCTGACCCACATGGACCTGGTTTCCAGGCCAGCCGCATGGGAGTGGAGGCAGTCATCGCCTTGCTAGAGGCCACCCCGGACACCCCAGCTTGCGTCGTGTCACTGAACGGGAACCACGCCGTGCGCCTGCCGCTGATGGAGTGCGTGCAGATGGTGAGTGGGCAGCCCATGGCCAAGGGCAGGGCGGAGACGGCTGGGACAGAAGCTGCTTGTCAGGCCAGCCTGGGCACCTTGGGTGTCTCGTCGGTGCACGATGCATTACACGGCCTTTCTGAGAAGGAGGTGAGCTGCCCGTGGGGAGGGAGAAGGCTTATGTTCTCTCCCACACCTGCAGAGCCTGCGCCGTCTTCGCTCTTTGGTTTTCTAAGTTACCATCCATCTGTGTGGCACATAGTCGTAACCTCCCCTGAGTGGGGGTCTAGAGCATCGGGATCCTCAACAGTCGAGGATCCAGGTGGCCCCAGTGCACCAGGTGCTGCAGAAGGACAGAGTGCAGGGAGGCAGCCGAGAGAGAGAGATCCGTGGACAGACTGCAGGGAGGCGGGCGTGAGAGAGACCCATGGGGCAGAGGGGGCAGGGAGGCAGGGAGGCGGGCGTGAGAGAGATCTACAGGGTGGTATTTTGTAGGGGAAGGTGGGACCTTCCCAAACTTCTCCAGTTTCAGCCATTTCCTGTCCTCCTATCCCCAAGGACATTCAGGTCTGTGATGGGACACAGGGAAAGCTCTGGTCACCCGAAGATACACCCACCCTTCTTGGGCCAGGGAACTGTCTGCCTGCAAATGAACAAAGGGAAAAGCAGTTCCAGCTTTTCAGGCATTGGTTCAGTAGTGGAGGTGGCTGTGGAGTTAGCTGCATTTGAAGTTATTTAATTAATTAATTTATTTATTTAGAGACGGAGTCTCACTGTTGCCCAGGCTAGAGTGCAGTGGCGTGATCTTGGCTCACTGCAAGCTCCGCCTCCTGGGTTCACGCCATTCTCCTGCCTCAGCCTTCCGAGTAGCTGGGACTACAGGTGCCCACCACCACGCCTGGCTAATTTTTTTTTTTTTTTTTTTTTTTTGTATTTTTAGTAGAGGTGGGGTTTCACCGTGTTAGCCAGGATGGTCTGGATCTCCTGACCTTGTGATCCATCCACCTCGGCCTCCCAAAGTGCTGGGATTACAGGCATGAGCCACCACGCCCAGCTGTTGTTTTATTTTTCAGAGTTCATTCATGATTCGTGACTCCTGTTTTGTTGCCTCTTAACACACACAAAGAAGTCGTGAAGCAATCAAGTCAGGGACTTGTTGAAAGTCACCTTGTAAACATAATTTCCAAAAGCCCAAGGGAGAAAATAGTATTTGTGTGTATGTGTGTGAGTGTGTGCGCAGGCTTGTGTCTCTGTGTGTATGTATGTATATGTGTGTGCATGTGTATCTCTGTATATGCATATACATGCAGGTTTATGCATATATTTATGCATGTGTGTGCATGTTTGTGAGGTAGTTTGGGTCTGCATGTATGTGTATGTTTATATGCATGAGTATGCATGTTTGTGGTAGTATGTCTGCATGTATGTGTGTGCATGTTTGTGTGCATGCATGTTTGTACGTGTGTGCATGTTTTTGTGAGGTAGTGTGTGTGCATGTTAGTGTGTGTGCATGTGTGTATATGCATGTGTACATTTGAGTGTGAGGTAGTATGTTTCTGCATGTTAGTGTGTGCATGTATGTTTATATGCATGTGTATATATGTGTGTGAGGTAATGCATCTGCATGTGTGTGCATGTATGCTTATATGCATGTGTGAGCATGTTTGAGATAGTGTGTGCATGTCTGTGTGTGCATGTGTTTATATGGATGTGTGTGTATGTTTGTGAGAGGTAGTATGTGCCTGCATGTTTGTGTGTGTGTGCAGGTATGTTTCTATGCAGATGTGTGCATGTTGGCATGAGTGTGAGGTAGCGTGTGTCTGCATGTTTGTGTGTGCAGGTATGCTTATGTGCATATGTGTGTATGTTGGAGTGTGAGGTAGTGTGTGTCTGCACGTTAGTGTGTGCCTGTGTGCATGTGAGAGGCAGTAGGCTTAAAAGGCTCAGAGCACTGAACGACATGCGGTACGTGTATTTTGAGCCTGTGTCTCATGTCTCTGCTTGTCTAGAGACGACCGTGGTAGGTGTCACTTGCCCTGACCTTGAAACCACCCTTGTGTGGCTTTGTTTTTAAAGCTGAGGGACCACTACTGTGCACCTGCTGTTTGTCAGGCGTCTTCCTGAGGGTCTGACATGCTTGAATAACCTTAGAGATAGCTGGAAGTAGGAGTATTTTTCTCATCTTACAGATGAGGAAATTGAAGTTCAGAGCGAGAAAGAACTTGACCAAGATCCTGACGTTGCCCAGGGCTGCCTGGCGTGCATCAGTCCCAGCCCCGTGTCCCAGGGCCTCCATCCGGGCCCCTCTGCTCCCCCGCCCGCTGTGACCTCGCTCCCATCCCACATCCCCCAGTGAGCTGGTGTGTTCTGTTTTGTTTTTCCCCACCATAATCAAATTGAGAATTCCTTAGAACCATGCCTGAGAGATTTCATTTCCTCTGGCTTTGTTCTCTTGGAGTTAAATCTTCACAGTGTTGTGTCCACAAACAGCAGGTGACACCTTCTCTTTTTCCTCAGAAGCCTCCTGAGCTAAGCAGTCCCAGGGCTCTGACCTCACAGCCGGGCCGTGTGGGGCTGGCTGCCAACCAGCATTAGGACACACTTGGCGGCCGGTCGTCTAGACCATTAACCCTGGGGCTGCTGGCTGCCCGGGTCAGACTGGAGGGGGCTGGTGGGAAGGACCGAGCCAGTCTCTACCTACCCCATCCATGATGCACCAGGTCCTGACACATTCTTTCTTCTTTTCATCATTGTTTTAAAAGACTCAGGATGTGCAGAAGGCGATGGACGAGAGGAGATTTCAAGATGCGGTTCGACTCCGAGGGAGGTGAGGTGCTTTGGAGAAAGCTCTGCCCTGTCAGGAACACACACCCCTCAGGCCCAGCCACTGCAAACGTGCTTAGGGGTTGTGCTTATTCCATGTCACTGTGAAAAATCAGAAAGTCAGGCAGTACTCACAGCACCGCTCTTGCAGTAGCAGGCCCTGGTGACTGGTTAGAGAGAAATCATTTTCTAAATTTGCCATTGGTCCTTTTTGGTAAGGTGATGGTTGTTTAGGAGCTAATGAGATTAAGGCACAAGGTGACTTGTGGCCCTTTAACAACAAACCAAAACAAAAAAAGGAGTCTCCTTCTGTTGCCTAGGCTAAAGTGCAGTGGTGCCATCTCAGCTCCCTGCAATCTCTGCCTCCCATGTTCAAGCAATTCTCATGTCTCAGCCTCCCAAGTAGCTGCGACTACCAGCTCGTACCAGTGCATGTCACCACATCCAGCTAATTTTTGTATTTTTAGTACAGACGGGGTTTCAACATGTTGGCCAGGCTGGTCTCAAATTCCTGACCTCAAATGATTCACCCGCCTCAGCCTCCCAAAGTGCTGGGATTACAGGCTTGAGCCACCGCACGCATGTCTTGCAAGAGAAAGTTATGAAGTGTAGAAGCGTGCCCTTTTCTCTTAGTCCATTTCCACCAGACACGGACAGCACCGCGGGTCGCGGCTAAGGGCTCTGCCATGCACATGGAACCCTGGGGCCTCCTCCTTCTGCCCAGATAGTCGGGCAGACACATTGAGTGCTGGCAGATAAGCCACCTTTTCTCCACATGAGCCCTGAGTTGTGTCCGGTATTCTCGACTCCGGTCCAACGACACCCTTTTCCTTTAGGAGCTTTGCGGGCAACCTGAACACCTACAAGCGACTTGCCATCAAGCTGCCGGATGATCAGATCCCAAAGGTAGGTGGCCGGCCTCCCGCGATGCCCCGACCTCTCCTGCGGGCCTCCCCTCATGGCCTCTGCCTCAGTGAATGAGGCCACCTGTTTTCAGGCCTGGCACGGCATGAGCCACTGCCAAAGTGTGCAGCAAATGGAGCTCACGTGTGCCCGTGACCCAGCACTCACCTGCCTTCTGTTTTGCAGACCAATTGCAACGTAGCTGTCATCAACGTGGGGGCACCCGCGGCTGGGATGAACGCAGCCGTACGCTCAGCTGTGCGCGTGGGCATTGCCGACGGCCACAGGATGCTCGCCATCTATGATGGCTTTGACGGCTTCGCCAAGGGCCAGGTGAGTCACCCAGGATGCCGTAGGCAGGCAGACACCCTGGCTGTGAGCACAGTGGACGTGGCGGCGGGGGGGTGCCCTCCATGGCCCTCATACCTTTTCATGCCTCAGTCCGGGATCCTGTGATATTGTGACTGAAGCATTGCTTCTGGAGTAAAATCTCACCCTAAGGTAGGTTTCAGGCCCTCAGATGGAGCCCAGGGTATGATGTGCTTTTGAATTTTCTGAAAAGGTGCTGGGGGATGGCAGTGCCTCTGGGGTCTGATGGCCCTGACATTAGGTGAGAAGGAAGGTGGCGTTGTCTCGGAGGCTGTGGTTTGTTTAAACCGGGCACTGGAGGGAAAGCAGGCAGTGTCTGGTGTGCACAAGCACCCACTGAAATACAAACCTTAGTGAACACAGGTAACACCCCTTGATGTGTGCTGTATCCAGTTGTTCTGTGGGATTGACATGTGTTCACCCATTTAAGCCTCACACTAAATCTAAGATGTTATCCCCATTTTCCTCACAAGAAAACCGAGGCATAGGGCTGGGTGCACGAGGGAGGACTGGAAACAGGATTCTGAGCTCCTGACCAGGGGCTGAACTTGTGGCTATTTGTTTATCTGATTAGCCAACAAATACCTACTTTGTGAAATTCTTTTTTTTTTTTGAGACGAAGTCTCGCTCTGTTGCCCAAACTGGAGTGCAATGGCGTGATCTTGGCCCACTGCAGCCTCTGCCTCCTGGGTTCAAGCGATTCTCCTGCCTCAGCCTCCTGAGTAGCTGAAATTACAGGCACGCGCCACCACGCCCAGCTCATTTTTGTATTTTTAGTAGAGATGGGGTTTCATCATGTTGGCCAGGCTGGTCTTGACCTCCTGACCTCAGGTGACCCACCCACCTTGGCCTCCCAAAGTGCTGGGATTACAGGCATGACCCACCGTGCCCAGCCTCCTACTTTGTGGAATTCTTATGCTGAGGAATTAAATGAGTGAGCAAAGCAGACACAACTCTCTGGTTCCGTGGAGACTGCGTTTATAGATGGGGAGAGAGGACAGTGGCTGAGGATCCTCCTGCTCTCTGGATGGTGAGCAGTGCTCAGAGGCATGCCGAGGAGGGCCTGCTGGAGATCCCCCAGACAGCAATGCTGGGGAAGGTGCTCCCAGGCTGCTGGTGGCTCATGGGGCCCTCAGGGGACACTCATCCCAGGTGGAGGGAAAGGATGCTCTGGAGCTGATGCTCACAGGGGCGGGGGCTCCAAGCCCGCACAGGGCAGTGAGGATGGGAACTGCAGGGGCAGGGCCGGCTTCTTTGTGGGCAGCCTGAGGAGGTTGGCTTTTATGTTATGTGAGATTCGAAGGTCCTGAGCAGGGACTGGCCCACACCAAGAGCTTTCTAAAGGGACCCGCTGCTGTTCACTGAGGCAGGAGGCAGGGCTCCCAGCCGGGGCTTTGCAGTCACCTAGCAAGAGATGGTGGGTCCAGACTGGCTACTGTGCAGATGGCGAGAAACCTTCAAGGGTCTGGAGGTATGGAGGGCACGGAGGGCAGATGGGGTTTGCTTGCTAAGTACACGCAGGCATAAACAGAGGAGGCAAGGATCACTCCATTCCTGGCCTGAGCACATGGAAAGGGTAGAGTTGCAATTTATGAGGACTAGGAAGCCCTGAGACACACTTCTTGCAGGTAGGATGAGGAGCGGAGACTCATGAGGCCAGGGTGAAAGTGTGTGTCCCACGGCCGAGGACAGGACTGGGGATGCTGGGGTGAAAGTGTGTGTCCCACGGCGGAGGACAGGACTGGGGATGCTGGGGTGAAAGTGTGTGTCCCACGGCGGAGGACAGGACTGGGGATGCTGGAGTGAAGGTGTGTGTCCCGCAGCTGAGAACAGGACTGGGGATGCCGGGGTGAAGGTGTGTGTCCCGCCATGGAGGACAGGACTGGGGATGCCGGGGTGAAGGTGTGTGTCCCGCCATGGAGGACAGGACTGGGGATGCTGGGGTGAAGGTGTGTGTCCCACAGCTGAGGATAGGATTGGGGATGCCAGGGTGAAGGTGTGTGTCCCTCAGCTGAGGACAGGACTGGGGATGCCAGGGTGAAGGTGTGTGTCCCGTGGCCAAGAATGTGCAGTAAGCCGCTGTGTCCCAGCATCTTCAGGAGGGTTTGGCTGAGCTCATGGGTTTAGGAATCTTCAGCGTCTCCACGTAGTTAAAGATGCAGAACTCACAGAGCTTCCCTGAGGGCCTGAGTGCAGGCAGGAGAGAGAGAAGGTCCAGGACTGATTCCTCAGGGCGCCATTGTTAAGAGTAGGGTGGGAAGAGGAAACCCCAGCCCAGGAGACTGAGGAGTGGCAGAGAGGTGGGGTGGAGATGCCCTGTGGCATCCCTGGGAACACAGATGATCCACCTTCCACCACCACTGCCCGCCCTTCTGTGTTGGCCCATCCACCCGCATCTCAGCAGCAGGAACCGGATGAGGAACCGTTCTGTCCTGGGTGGATCTTGCTTTCCCCGTCTTTCTTGTTCAGACTTGTGAAGATTAATTGGCTTAAAACTGGTATTTGCTTTATTTAAAAAATATTGCCTTCAAAACTGATTTATGTGGGAAAAAAAAGCCTGATTTATATGGTTCTGTCAAATATATATATATATACATACACACCTTGTACAGTATTTACCTTTTGATGTAGAATGATCTTTTTTCTAATGTAATTTACCTGGAGATCCCCCTGCAGCATGGCAGTGTGTCCACCACATCCGTGAACTTACCCAGAATCTCGTGACCGGAAGCTGCGGAGCTGGGGTTCGAGCCCCACGGGTTCTCCTCCTGCAGTCCTGCCGTCCTCGCAGTGGCATCCTCTTTCTGCGATTACCTTAGTTTGCTTAGTAATCTGTTTTCCTTTTTTCTCCCTAGTTTGTAAGAAAAGAAATTTTCCCTTAATCTTTTACCAACTTAGAAACCATCATGTTACTTTTCTTTTAGTTGCCGGTGGCGGGATACGGTGAGCTGATGTATCTCACACGTGGCTCAGGATGAGACACAGAGGCCCCGACAGGCAGGGAGAACGCAGCCCCTCTGCTGCTCTTCATGAGTTGTTAACCTTGGACTTCTGCTTCTCACCTTGATTCATCCGGGCATCGTGATAAATGCTGTCTCATACGCCTCTCAAATCTTTACCGGAATGCAGCTTGTTGAAAAGTACAGAAAGCTATTTTTAGCACTTTGCAACTTGCCTTTCATTGTTCACTTTAGCTGTTTCGTTCTGTGTTTGCACATTAGATCAAAGAAATCGGCTGGACAGATGTCGGGGGCTGGACCGGCCAAGGAGGCTCCATTCTTGGGACAAAACGGTAACTTCCAAATCTCAACTCTATGACCTGCTTTTAAGGAAGAAGGAAGAGCCGTGTTCTGGGAGAGAATCGCTGGGTGCCGACGCCAGTTGGATTCCTGGAAAGGCGTCCCTAAGGGAGGGGTGCAGGCAGTTACCGGTCCTCCCTCCAGTGGAACTGCCCGTGTTCCAGGGAGCTGGGGATGTGTCCCAGGGCGTAAGAGAGAAGAGGAGGTAACTTGTGAATGCCTTCCTCTAATTCATATTTCCATTCATTTGAAAAGCCAGCTGGCGAGCCTAAAGCCTCCACTTGGAGGTCATAAAGATGAGTGGTGTCACGGAGCCGTGGAGATGGCACTCTAAGCAAACCCTAAAGCAGCCTGGATAGCAGGTAGCATTGGTGGGAAGCATAGCCCTGAGCAGCTGTGACTCGAGGCTCAGATTTCCACAGCCGAGGAAAGGACCCAAGGAATTCTAGTCTAAAAATCTCTTTTTCAGACCTACAGTAAGCCTGGCGTCCCTGCATCCCTGGGGACAATGGGATTTCCTAATGTAGATGAAGCCTGAGTAATTCTCACCTTTGATCATGTCAGAGGTGCGAATATTAATCTCTGTCATCACTACACATTACAATTTCACATGGAAGGAAGGTAGTTTTTGGCAAATATAATAAATGATGGATTCCATGTAATTCCGGCTTATTGTTCCAAGGGAGTTAGCTGCACCCTTTGCTTTGCTTTACAGCCAGGACCCTGGTACTCCCAGCCACTGGTGGGATGGTGGGAGCCTCGGAGCTGGGTTAGCTCTACAGCTGCCTCCCGGCTGTTCTCATGAGCTCTGTGTGTGGGTGCCCTGGACGGTAAAGCTCTAGGTAGAGGCAGATGCATCCCTCGGTGTGCGTTCTGGGGCTGAGGACTGGCTGCTGACACCCCGGGCACAGGTGCTTGATAGGGCCAGGGCGTTGCTCTCGAACGTAGAGAGGACTCGCTGGCTGTTGTGGGCTCGTCCTGAAGAGGCTTAAGAAACCTCACCTTAGGGGCCAGCACAGGTTTGCACTTAGCTGCATTCACTTGTCTGCTCTGATTGCCTGGCCTGAACGTTTTTGCCCTACGGTGTCTTATAAATCTACCAAGAGTACAAGTACTTCACTTCTTCCAATCAACATGAAACCTTTGGATGGGCTTGGGATGGGATCCAGGGAGGGGCACAGTCTGGTGTTGCACTTGTTAGCCCTGTCATGTGACATTGGTGAGAGCATGGGGGAGGGAGAGCAGGTATGAGCAGATGGGATTTTAAATGAGATCAATAGTGGATAATGCATATGTAAGTTATTTGGAAACTGGAAATTTCCATTTAAACAATTATTGGGCACGGCGGCTCACACCTGTAACCCCAGCACTCTGGGAGGCTGAGGCAGGTGGATCAGGAGGTCAAGAGATGGAGACCATCCTGGCCAACATGGTGAAACCCTGTCTCTACTAAAAATGCAAAAAATTAGCCGGGCGTGGTGGCGGGCGCCTGTAGTCCCAGCTACTCGGGAGGCTGAGGCACGAGAATCACTTGAACCCGGGAGGCGGAGCTTGCAGTGAGCTGAGATTACGCCACTACACTCCAGCCTGGTAACAAAGTGAGACTCCATCTTGGAAAAAAAAAATTGTTATTAATTATAACTTCTTAATTTTATTTTTTCTAATGGGGCAGTAGAGTTCTTTTTAGGTCAAGGTATGAGCTGAAATGCTTTATTCCATTTTCTCATGAAAACACTGTTTTGAGATGAGATTCCTGGTCATTCTGCCATCTGCCAGCCACAACGGCATGAGTGAAAAGGCAGACGTTTACCGCTCCTTAATTAAAACCACAGACTGGGGAAGGCGGCCGGGTGGGGACCGGCGTGGCGTCCTGCGGACCGCGTGGAGTTTGGGGTGTCTGACATCGTTCTCCACGTGGCTATTTTCAGCGTTCTCCCGGGGAAGTACTTGGAAGAGATCGCCACACAGATGCGCACGCACAGCATCAACGCGCTGCTGATCATCGGTGGATTCGAGGTACGTTACCGTTTCTCTCTTGCCGGTCTTGCAGGTGTGAGCCGCGCCCTGTGTTGGCTAAACATTAAGCTACTTGTTGGCTACTGGCCACGATCCGAGATGATAGGTTCCCAGACCCAGCGGCCACTGGAGAATTGTAGAACAGCAGGATAGCAGGTGGTAAGACGTGGCCTACGAGTGGCCCAGTTCCAGTAAAGCAACTTAACCGAGAAGCAAAAGCTTGACTCCTTAACCCGGGCCTCATCTATTCAGTGAGCTCTTAATGTATTTCAGGCCTGTGGAAGTAATTCTATCTCTTGAGTCCAGAGTCCAGTGGCTACTTAGAGACTAAGGTAGTTATACCTAGAATTTTGTTTAAAATCACATATTGGACTGTAGACCCTAATATTTTTTCTATTCATGAAGATTAGTCCCATGGTAACCTTTCCATTTACTTTTAGAAAAAGTAAAAACTGGCCGGGCGCGGTGGCTCACGCCTGTAATCTCAGCACTTTGGGAGGCCGAGGCGGGCAGATCACCTGAGGTCAGGAGTTCAAGACCAGCCTGACCAACATGGTGAAACCCCGTCTCTACTAAAATATAAAAATTAGCCGGGTGTGGTGGCAGGTGCCTGTAGTCCCAGCTACCCGGGAGGCTGAGGCAGGAGAATCGCTTGAACCCGGGAGGCGGAGGTTGCAGTGAGACGAGATTGCACCACCTCACTCCAGCCTGGGCCACAAAGCGAGACTCCGTCTCAAAAAACAAAAACAAAAACAAAGTAAGAACCTCAGAAATGAGACTCTTACCCATGAGAGGTTTAGTCATCTAACCGATCATGTCTGTCCTGCGCCCTTTGTGCTTACAACCTGCCGATCCTTGTCTGTGGTCTTAAGGCAACTGTGTGTTGATCTCGGAGTGTTTTCGTGATGCCCCAGTGTGCTCCCTGCGTGCTGTGGTGGAGGTGGCGCTCCCAGCCTCTCCCAGCGAGACCCTCTCCTCCCCAGCTTCCCTCTCGCCCCACAACTCCCACGCTTGTCTGACAGGCCTACCTGGGACTCCTGGAGCTGTCAGCCGCCCGGGAGAAGCACGAGGAGTTCTGTGTCCCCATGGTCATGGTTCCCGCTACTGTGTCCAACAATGTGCCGGGTTCCGATTTCAGCATCGGGGCAGACACCGCCCTGAACACTATCACCGACGTAAGTCCGTGTGCGCCCTGCCAGGCGGGCGCCGGCTGACGCTAACCCCGGGGCCCCGGCCCTTTTTATCTACCAGTGCGCTAGAAATAGCCTTTTACAAATACCCTGAATGAGAGCTTCTCGTTCTTTTTTTCCCCCAGAAAAGTATGTTTTAAGACTCTGAAAATTTTTGATCTCACTCCCAGAGAGTTTTACCACCTCTTCTTCTGTGTGGCCACCAGGGGGACGTAGTGTGGCCGAGACTCCAGGGGTGCCCGTGAGCACCCGAGGCGCTGAGGAGGGCTGGGTCGCAGTCTCCTGTGATTGTACCAGCATTAAAAATCGCTGTGTGTGTGTGTGTGTGTGTGTGTGTGTGCTGAGCCTAAATTTTCTTTGAGCCTCCAATACCCATTATGATGAACCCCTGCCTTGATGCTGAGGGTAGAAATTGAACTGAATATTTTATAATTTTATTCATTGCCCTGAATGCACCATTGCATTTGTTATCTCTCTGGTCTTGGCTGTTGACCTCATTTTCCCCTTTGTAAACTGGGGATGTTAAATTACCTCTAAGGCAATAATTGGTGCTACTTTAGTTTTTTTGCCAAGAGACAATAATAAAACATAGAAATATATTCTTCTTTTTTTCTTTGTGGGACGGGGTCTTACTCTGTCACCCAGGCTTGAGTGCGGTGGTGTGATCTCAGCTCACTGCAGCCTCGACCTCCCGGGCTCAGGTGATCCTCTCACCTCAGCCTCCCGAGTACCTGGGACCACAGGCATGTGCCACCATTCCCGGCTAAAAGAAATATACACCTATTCCCATGTTTGT
Source organism: Homo sapiens (assembly GCF_000001405.40). Lineage (NCBI taxonomy): Eukaryota > Metazoa > Chordata > Mammalia > Primates > Hominidae > Homo > Homo sapiens. The sequence continues at coordinate 3,120,856 of NC_000010.11, forward strand.
GTGTCACGCTTGGTAATTGATGTGGGAGTTTGAAGATCCGTACCTAACACAGAAAGCATTTCATTTTTTTAAAATTTGATGTCTAAAAGTTTGTAGTAATTCTCAAGTTTTAATTTTTCTTGTGAGACTTGGTTCTCATGAATATTTTTCAAAGATATTTTTTCTTGTAAAACCTTGGCATGAAACTTATTTCTAGCACTGGTAAATAAAAAAACAAGCTTTTAACATACAGCTCATATGGTAAGTAATGCTTAGCACTCGTTTCTTGCTTTTCTGAGCGTTTTAAACTTTCTTCACTTTCTTTGCGAAGGAAACCTGCCCAGGTTTTCCTGTGTTCACTGGCTTTGGGGGCAACTTTCACCTTATTTTTGGCAGTTGCTAATCTCTGACCTAGACGTTGCTTCTGTTCTCCTGGTGGTGGGTGTCACGGCTTTGCTGCTGCGGGGCTGGCCCGGCTCTGGACCTACCTTCGCACTGTGAATGTGAAGATGAGCCTCTTTCACAGACTGGATTCCGTCATTGCTTTCACTGCTCTTTCGCCTGCTTTAGCTAGATTTTTGGGTCTGTGAAAGTTGGGTGTGCAATGGGAGGGACTGAAGCTTCTTTTTTCCCTAATTGTTACCTAATTGGAACTCGCCCAGAGGGAACGGGTGGAGAATTTGAGAGCGGTCGCTGCAGTTAGCTGAGTTTCTTTTTAATTCCAGGGTCCTCTGCTATAAATAACTGTTTTTTTTTTTTTTTTTTCAGATTGTAAATATGTAACAAATGCATAGGGTCAAATTTATGAAAACCAAAATACGTGGGGCAAAAACACCCCACAAATGATCATTTCCACCTGCTTTTACTTCCCTTGGAGGGATTGTGTGATTTATTATGCGATTGTTTTAAATGCAGTTTTTCATTCATTCGAGTTTCTCGAAGCTAGGTTAAACAATTTCTTTTTTTTTCTTTTTTTTTTTTTTTTTTTTTTTTTTTCTTTTTTTGGAGACAGGGCCTCACTCTGTTTCCCAGGCTGGAATGCAGTGCTGCAATCGCTATTCACTGCAGCCTCGACCTCCCAGGCTTAGGTGATCCTCCCACCTCAGCCTCCTGAGTAGCTGGGACTACAGGTGGGTGCCACCGTGCCCAGCTAATTTTTTGTATTTCCATAGAGACGGGGTCTCCCTGTGTTGCCCAGGCTGGTCTCAAAACGTCTGGGCTCAAGCAATCCCCCTGTCTTGGGCTCTCAAAGCACAGGGGTTACAGGGATGAGCCACCGCGCCGGGCCTGAAGTTAACTGATTACAATGTCTGAGAAAGAACTGGAGCGTGTAGTTAGTTGAGCCTCCCGTTGGCCAGGCACAGCCACCTTGGTAAGTGCATGTGTGTGTCCTTGTTGCCCTTCTGATCCTGAGCTCCAAGGAACAAGGCTGTCTTGGGAGTGCGGTGGTTCTAGTCTCGTGATGGGTGAGTGGCGCCGTCTGACCGAGGTCACCCTGGCGAATGCTGTGGCTGCTGGGGAGCTGGGACAGAGAAGAGAAAGCCGCTGAGGGTCCCTCTGTGGACCCTGAAGGGAGAGGGACCGATATGTGAACATGGCAGCTGTTTTCTCCAGAGCCCTGTTTACTGACGGCCGAACAGTGTGAATCCTGAGAAGGTTTGGATTTGGGTCTGAACTGGGCTCGTCTGGCCATAGAAGAACATGAGCTGGTGGCGTCCTCAGGAAATCAGGGTGTGAGGCAACTGGACGTGGATGGCTCCGGGTCCCCCCGGCCACTGTCCTGAAGCCGCCGGAGGCTGAGGACGCATGGGAGTGAGCGTCTCTTCCCTGTCCGGCCACACCCTCTGTGACTGGTGACTCATGGCATGGCCCTGGGCAGCATTTAGGTTTGAGGTCTGTAGATGGCTCCAGTATACTGGCTTCTATTGTTCAGAAAATTTGGTGATTCTCATGGGGGCAGGGGTGGTGATTTTGCCCCAGGGGATGTTTGCAACGTCCAGGGAGGTTTCTGGTTAGAAGTGGGAAAAGGGATGCTCCCAGCATCTGGGGCTGGAGACAAGGGACGCTGCGGAACGTCCCTCAGAGCACAGGGTGGGCTCCATAATAGGAGTCTGGCTCAGGATGTCGCCGTGTTGTGCTTCGGAAGCCCTGGGCGGGGCTGATGTGGTGAAGCCTCATCTTCTCTGGACACGTGCGTCCTCGTCCTCTCTCATGATTTCCTTCTTGCCAGCATTGATGCTTAGCCCCTCAGAATCTATGCGGTGCTGGTGAGTGGTCCTCCGGGCAGAGCAGAAGGAATGAGATACCTCAGAGCCGGTGTGACACGTTCTCAGGATACGGCTGCAGGGAGTTTCAGTCCGACCCTTTCATTCCTTAGCACTGGCCCATTACTCCGTCCTGTAAGCTCGATAAGGTCACATCAGAAGCACAGTAAGCTGCTGCCACGCTGCCGTCAGCTGCCGCGAAGGTGGCAGTGACCACAGCCTCGTGACTGATTCACAGCCTGGCTGCGCTTGGTCTTGAGAATTTTATGTTTTGCTGGGCAGGGTCTCCCCCGTATTGAAGCTTCCCTTCCCTTTTTTGGAGACTGAAGGAAGGAAAAGAGGAGTGATAGGGAAGAGGGGAGAGAGGATTTGCAGCATTGTGGCTGTCCCCACAGATTTCAATGTGGAGTTAAGCTGCCGAGACCCCCACCTGCCCTCCTGTGTGCCTCAGGCCCCTCCTGGTCCCAGGTCACCCACACCGTCTGGCTTCCAGCGAGCGCTTCTCGGAGAAACAGCCGGCTCCCCACAGCCAGTCTTGGTCAGTCCTGAGCTCGGGTATTCCACAGTAAAGTGAGCGACATCACCTGTCTGAAAAGCATAAGGAGACTCCCACGTGGCGGTGCTGAGGGGCCACATCCTGGGCACCAGGCCAGCCAGTGCCCCGACATGAGTGTTGCTGGCTGGGAAGCAGCTGGCATTTGGATTGAAGTCCTGCAAAAACTGCCATGGCCAGAGCCTGCCAGGCAGAGCCTGCACAGAGCGGCCCAAGAGCTGGGCACGTGCTGGGCCTGGGTGGAGGTGGAGGCTGTGCCATGGGGTGCGGGGGACCCTGCTCACAGCTCACCTTGTGGTCACCCAGCACTGACCCCGTTCACAGCTCGCCTTGTGGTCACCCAGCACTGACCCACCCGCCCCACCCTCCTATCCACCGTGCTGTGAACTCACCTGCCACGGGTCTACACCCACTGTCCGAAGCCCTCGGCCCACACGGGCTCCAGGCCTTGGGATGCTTTGCGTTGCACCAGGGCTGCAGAGCCCAGATCGCTCACTGTCCGACTCTCCCAGGGAGGTGTGGGCGCCGCCCTGTGTCCCACCAGTAGCATTTCTGCAGCAGATGTGGGGATATTCACAGTAAGACGGACACGTCCAAGACCATAAATAGTTGGTTTTGCCACCACGTGGATGTCAAAAACACCTTGCTGTGTGGGGCCACTTGGAGGTGGGAACAGTGGGCGTGTGGACCTGTCCTGCTGTGACTTTGGTTAACACCCTGAGGTGGAGTCTGAAAAACCCCGGTGTACACGGGCTCAAGAACCGCTCCCCTTTCTGATACCGGAGCGCATTTCCCAGTGGAACCCCAGAGCAGCAACTCAGGTTCTTGCTCGCCTGTGCGGCTTTGTGTGCGGCTTGCCGAGGGCAGAAACGGCAGCTTCCGCCCGGAGAGCAGAGATGTGGCGTGGGGCTGAGTGTGGCCCACCGGTAATCCAGCTGCATGCCCCCTTCCCTGCCTGCACCTGGGCGCCGCCTCTGCACGATGAAGGCGGGCATTTGGTGTGGTCCTTACAGCCGTGTGCCCCATCCCACTGATCCTTGCCTGCCTGCAGAAAGCTACAGGATTGGCTTTGCCTTTAAGTGTCCTGACTGCCCTGGCCTCCCTTACCTACCATGACACGCCGAGAGCTGAGCTGTCCCACTCGTGACTAACTCGCCGTTGCCTGCAACCTGCTCCGTTGCCTGCCTCACACCACCCCGCTGTGCTGCCTGCAGGCACCCCCTTTCATGAGGACCTGGGCTGTGCCCAGGCGGCCCCCTGTGTTGCTGGGGCCTGTGCTGCTCTCGCACGGCCTCCAGAGCCTCCCTCGGCCCCTTGACCCGCATGAACCGGCTTCCCCTGGTGACTCAGTCCCCTCCCGTCCCTTCCTGGACCTCAGCACAGGCCCTGGGGCTGGCAGGTGAGCACCCGGCACCCCCGCTAACCGCTTGGCCCTGCTGCTTCAGGCTTACAAGAGTGCGTGCGACATGGCCGAGGCACGAGGCCGCCACCAGGAGCTTTGCATCCCCCTGTGTGTGGTGCCGGCCACGATTAGCAACAATGTCCCAGGCACAGAAATAAGCCTGGGCTCCGACACTGGCCTGAATGCTGTTGTTGAGGTAAGAGAACCCCGTTTCCTCTCATTGCTTTTCCGTCATTTATTTTAGCAACTTGTTTCTTCTGTGCTAAGGATGAGCCGGATTTATTCTTCTTCTTTTCTCCCCTTTGTTAGCTTGGCTTTATGTCACACTGGCCAGAACAGGGTAAAATTTTTTTAGCTTCTCTGCCTTAGGGAGAGCCTGTCTTTATTGATTAAAAGTGAGATGATATATCCAGTCCTTGGGATCGTGTTTCTATCCCACCTAGACTAGGGGAGCCGCAGGTACCATTGCTCTGGAGGCTGCCTCTCCTGCCCACGCTGAGTAGTGAGGCTGCAGGGCCAGCTGTGGGAGCCTGCAGGAAGGGGTGTAAATGCCCGGTAAGTACGAGCTCCAGGACAGAGCCGTACCCACTGGGGGCCGCTGCCTGGAAAACAGCCTTCCTGGTGAGACAAGAGGCTCTTTAGAGAGCCGAAATCACGCCCTCCTGGGCAGGCGGTTTCACCAACATGTGCCTTGGGAGGGGTGGATTCTGCCAGTCGTGGGTGTGGTGCTGACACCCACATGGTGGCCCCTCCGGTCCCTGATACTCTGACCTACCTCTATGGTCATAAGCTGGACATGAAGACCTATGGTAGTTCCACAGGCCTTTGCTGCAGAGACGGTCCTCACTCAGCTGCAGACAGGACGGTGGCCACCGTGACATGTGGGGTCACGTCCGTGACTTGGCCACCTGGTGCGAGGGACCCACAGCAAAGCAGAACTGCTGGCCGGGGTAGGCCTGCATCGCGTGCGGGGACAGCAGCCACTGGCCTTTACCTTACATCTTGACGTCCAAGCCAGCTCCGGAGTTTGCAGTGAAAACTCCCAGTCCTGCTGGAGACTCCTTAGTTCAGCTTAGCACAGAACCTCGGAAGACAGCAGTTCTATTCCGGGTACTTCCTTCAGAGCTGAGTTACAGTGCAGGGAAGGGAGCAGAGGAGCCATGAGGTCGGCTGCAGCTTCCTGTGAGTCCGAGCCTCAGCCTCCCACTCGAGCTGAGGGGCGTGTCCTGGCCATCTCTCTCCTAGGCTTCTCCCTGTGTTCCCCAGTGCTGTGGTGGTCTTGCAGAGGCTGGCCCTGGCTCATTCCCAGGACTTCCTTGGGCCCCGCACTTGACCCCTGTTGGGTGAATGCCATTAGGGTCCGGCCATCGCTGGCTTCACTCTCCTTTAGCACCTTGTAGATGTCCATGCACACTTCCACCCTCGCGCCCCACACGCGACGCAGCCCTACCCTGGCCAGCAGCTGTGCTTTGCTGCGGGTTCCATGCTGTAGCAGGGACAGGACCCCCACCCCCTGTCCCGTCTGGCCACCGACTTCAGCAGAGGCTCGGCTGCCGTGAGGGATACCAGTCATGGGAAAACTGGCCTCCCTGCAGATTCACAGAGCAAGGTGGTTCTCACAGAGAAGTCAGTGGCTTTTTTCTACGTTAATGCTGTAGCAAACGCCACCTTTTCTTTCACCACCAATTTATATTTCTTAACACCCATGGAGCAAAGTGTGGTGATGTTTGAACTGTAGCCTGGGGCTCTCGCTCCCATGGGACTCCTCGGGGAATTTCTCAGCAGCAGGATCGCCTCTGCGTCCTTGCAGGGGGTGGCGTCTGCTGGGGGCACATCCCATCGTGCAGGGGGAACGGCTGAGGTCACAGGCTTTGCCTGACAAGTGCCACTCACAGCTGCTGTCCACGTGCCAGCCCTGGGACACAGCCCTCTGCCATCCTTCCACCCACTCGGAGGCCAGGGAGGCACCTCCGTGCCACACTGCAGGCAGGCAGGGCCGCGCTTGGGATCTGCCGCCTTCTTGTCAGTGCTGCTTTGACTAATTGCCTGAGGCACGGCCGGAGTGACTTGCTATTTTTAGAAGCTAATTCAGGCTTCAGATGCCATCTAGGTAATGAGGAGAGAGTTCAGGAAAGCTGTATCTAAGCTCCAGCAAAGGCGGCCTCTTCCGTACCAGCTGTCGCTGCGTTTACACTGAGACGAGCACACAGTCGGGGGCGTGGCTCAGGTGTCAGGGCTGCGCTGTTCCACAGCCCCCTGGGGCAGCCTGGCGGGACCAGAACTCAGACACGCCTGGGCACAAATCAGCCTCTTGGGAGAGCTGCTTTGCCCGCAGAATTCTTTTGCCATTAAGCGGTTGATGTCATTCTTTGAATGAGTGACAGTAATTCCCCACCTCAGGGTGGGCTGCGGGGGAGATTCAGTTGGAAAAGTAACCCATGAGGTTTTGTGCCTCTGGGGGTCCTGAGGCCCCACCCGTGCCTGGGATTCTCTAAGACAAAGGAGAAGTCTTAAAGCCTTACAGCGTCTTAAGTCTTAGATCACATTTAGAGAGACCCGGTACAGGTGGAACAGTGCAACCCTCAGAATTCTGCACTGGCCCTTCAAGAAGGCAGTTGTGGGCTCTTTGGACCCTTGACGGGGATCTGTCCTCTGTCCTCCTAAGCACAAAGATGGGAATTCTTCCCATTGCCTGTTTCTCTCCCCATCTCGGCTTCTACACAATGCAAAGTGGCCCGCTAACTAGAGTCCGTGTTCAGTTTTGAATACATCAACCAATTATTTTGGGAAGAAAAGAATCTGCCAAAGAAACTGGAAATACAGTTTGGAATCATTTAATCAAGCCTGCATTTATTAATCAAAGTGCACTTTTAGATTTCATCCGAAGTGCTCAAGTGAACATTTCCCAATGGGTGTTAAACTTGGGTGCACAGACTCTCACGTGGCTCCTAGTCTCAAGTCCACACCCCCACTTCATGCTCTTACTCTTGGCTGAGTCCCATGGAGGCCCATTAGGGAATCCTGCAGGATCAGCCGTTGACCAGGACGGACGGACGGCTGGCTGGGGAATACCATGCTTATGTCATTCAGAGACAAGCATTTCTTGAGCGCCTGCTGTGGGGGCTCGGCCGGGTGCTGCTGATGGTGCACTGGTGTAAGCCCAGCCCACAGTTCCTGTCCTCATGGAATTTGCAGCCTAGTGAGGAAGATCCTCCCAAGTCAAATAACCACAAGGTAACTGCAGGGAGAGACACCGGGATAATTTCTGTGAAGAGAGGACATGGGGTGGCTCCGAGAGCCCCTGACAGAGGGAACTTTGTGGTCCTAGAAACCAGGTGGTGTTTTCCTGAGGAAATGACATTTTCCTCTGGATCAGAGCTGAGGAAGGTGCCTCTGTGTGTCCCGTGGCCGCTGTGACACTGACCACACACCTGGGGCTGGAAAATAATACTCTCTCCCACAGCTCTGGAGCGCAGGAGCCATGGGCTGAGGCCAGAATGTTTGCTCCAGGAGCGTCCCTCGTGGCCCGTTCAGGTGCCCAGAGTTGCGGGCCTTGCACGCCTTGTACGCCTTGTTCCCTGGCGCCTCCTCCTTCCATGTGGGTGTGCAGCATCCCGCTCCAGGGCCTTCAGCCTCTGCGCCCCTCATCTGCTGATGCAGGTGATGGCATTTAAGGCCCACCTGGGTACTCCTAGGATTCACCTTTATCACCGCATGAGGGAGCATTCCCAGGTTCCAGGGATTAGGGATAGGACTGGGATTCCTTTGGGGGCTGCTCTCCCGCCCACCACTGTGCCGGAATGTGATGCACACAGCGGCCAGCATATCCAAAGGCCCCAGGAGGACCTGGGGTGGCTGGAACAGGACCTGGTGCCGGGAGCAGGCGGGGCCGGGGATTCCCGACAAAGGCTTGATGTGTACTTGAAGTGAGCAAAGGGTTTTGAATAAACCAAGAACTGGATCAGATTTATGTTTTTTATAGATGGGGTCCTTTCTGTGTGAACGGATTGGAGGGTCCCGGGGTGGGAGCTGAGGCCCAGGAAGAGGGCGTTGCAGCCGGACTGATGTATGGGTGGGAAGGCGGCCGATGCATTTCTTTGCCATTTTTCTCCCCGCCGAGCTTGGGTCCTCATGGAGGGCGGATGGCAGACATTTCACTCTGGGATCCGATGCCTGTGCATCTGGAAGACTTCCCCAGGTGCCTGGGTCTAAGAACCACCATCTGCCTTTGAGTAGAGTTTCCATAAATGTAACATTCGCCAATGGATGGAAGATGGCCGCACCTCTAAAATCACAGGGAGCTTTTCAGAAGAAAATAGAATAGCACAGCGGTTCTCACGGACTAAGCTGGCAGGGGACAGTCCCCTAACATCTCAGCTAACACCTAACGGTGTCTGTGTCCGGTGAAAGCGGCTTCAGCAGGGACAGTCACAGAGCAGCGTGGAGTGAGCTGGCTTGTGGGGTCGTCTTTTCCGTCCCCTTCTATGGGGCCTGGGAGAAGGGAGCGGCAGATGGCCAGGCCCCCAAAACGGGACATCGAGGTCACCTCCAGGTGGCTGCCATGGTGGGGTTGCGGGGGACCACGTTCACACCCACTCCGAGGGCACATCCTGGCTGCTGCACACCCTTCACCTCTGCGGGATGCTGGGACCGCATGTTTGGGCGCGGTGGGGGGGCCTTGCTGCACTCACTCTTGGGGGAGCTCTGGGATGGTGGGCGCGCCCCGGGCCTGGGCTGGAGTGACTGATCGCTTCTCTGTGACCAGACCTGCGACCGCATCAAGCAGTCCGCCAGCGGAACCAAGCGGCGCGTGTTCATCATCGAGACCATGGGCGGCTACTGTGGCTACCTGGCCAACATGGGGGGGCTCGCGGCCGGAGCTGATGCCGCATACATTTTCGAAGAGCCCTTCGACATCAGGGATCTGCAGGTATGTGACGGGGCTGGCCTCAGGGCCCGTCCCCTTGGGATCCACTGGGTGCTGCGGAGTGAATCATCGTGTCTAGGGTGGTTTGCTTTCCAAGGGGCATGGAGATGGAGATGCTACAGAACATGCCACGCTTGATACACTTCGCATCGCCCAGGTGCCCCTACTGCGTGTCAGGTGACGGTGGGTGTGCCTGGTTGAGGACACCTTCTAGTCTCATGTGTGAAACACAAGCTTGTTTGTTTGACATAGTCTGTTGTGTAGTTAATGTTGTCTCACTTATGTCACCAATGATTTGAGAACCTCCGCTGACAGTCACCACCCACGTCTGCGACAGGCTCTGAAGGTTGCTGCAGCTTCTTTTAAATCCTGAGGCCCCTGATGCTGCGTCTGCCTCTAAACGGACACAGACATGACCGTGGTTTCTCGGCATCTGTGGCTCTTTTAGGGAAGGGTGTCGCTGACCCCGCGGTCTGCCCCTGCTTGGACGACACAGCAGAATCCAGGCCTGGACCCTGCAACATTCAAAGTTGCTAAACTTCATGCAAGATGACAGGCCTTGGCAGATAAAATGCAACTTGAACAATTGTCTTTATTTAGAGAGGGAGTCTTGCTGTCACCCAGGCTGGAGTGCAGTGGCGTGGTCTCGGCTTACTGCAACCTCCAACTCCCAGGTTCAAGCGATTCACCTGCCTTAGCCTCCCAAGTAGCTGGGATTACAGGCACGTGCCACCACGCCCAGCTAATTTTGTATTTTTAGTAGAGATGAGGTTTCACCATGTTGGTCAGGCTGGTCTCAAACTTCTGACCTCGTGATCTGCCCACCTCGGCCTCCCAAAGTGCTGGGATTACAGGCATGAGCCACCGCGCCCAGCACCATTGTCTTTTAAAAAGTTAGGATGTTACTTGTTTCTGAGCCAAATAGATCAAGTAAAAAGGGCCTTGGCACTAATTATGTGACATGTGAATCACGAATTTCTTTACCATGTCAAATATTTGTGGAGTCATTCACTGCATCATGATGTTTCTGTCAACAGTGGGTCCCATAAGATTATAATGGAGCTGCCCCAAACAGGTGCAGTTTTTTATCTTTTATAAAAACATATCTTTTTACATATATTTTTATAATATATATTTTATAAAAAGATGTTTTTTATCAAAAAATATGTATCTCTTACTGTGCTTTTCTACATCTAGACATGTTTAGATACACAATTGCCTGCAGTATTCAACAGTCCCAGACATTCAGGTTTGTAGCCAGGAACAACAGGTGTGCAGCAGGCTCTGCCTCCTGGGTTTGTGTGAGTTCACTGTAGGATGTTTGCGCAAGGCTTAAGTCACCTAGCAATGCATTTCTCAAGGAACATATCCCCCTGTTACATGACTCATGACCGTATTTCAGAAATCTATCCAAAGATCCTGCCTCACCAGCGCTCAGCATGGCAAGGGCTTAAGAGAAATTATGACAGATTTTTATTTTTTGCTTTAATTTTTGAGATGGAGTCTCGCTCTGTCACCCAGGCTGGAGTGTAGTGGCACAATCTCGGCTCACTGCAACTTCCGCCTCCTGGGTTTAAGCAATTCTCCTGCCTCAGCCTCCCAAGTAGGTGGGACTACAGGCACCTGCCACCACGCCTGGCTAATTTTTTGTATTTTTAGTAGAGACGGGGGTTTCACCATGTTGGCCAGGCTGCTCTCAAACTCCTGACCTCAGGCAATCTATCCGCCTTGGCCTCCCAAAGTGCTGGGACTACAGGCATGAGCCACCATGCCTGGCCTCCTACTTTGTGAAATTCTGCCATTGCGCCCAGTGACAGATTTGATTAGATGTAAAAACCTCCATTTTCTTAGGATGAATCATTAGAGAATTACCTCCCTCTTGTAATCCTCCTAACATGATCTGAAATGGGGATGTTCTTACTCTAAGACCATCTTTTCCTTAAGAAATCTGTGTATGAATGTGAGTCTACAAAATTCTTTGGTCAGACACTGCTCATCAGGCCGTCACATGAGATTCCATAGAAAGGCCACAGGTCACTCTTTCCTCTGAGAGCACCGAGAACATCGTCATGCAAATAAACAAGGAGCAATAGAGCCATGAATGATCACTAGGCAAAGCACGGAATTACCATTTTCAGAGGGACCCTGTTGACTCTGGAAGGTGTTGCTAGTGGCCGCCGTGAGGGCTGCTCACCGTGCCCTGTCCTCAGCGTTCATCGCTGCAGACGTGTCCTCCCTATCTGGGAGGAGGCTCCCCAAGACCCAAGCCGCGAGAGCTGCAGCCTCCTTGGCCACGCTCACTGCCACACTTGGTTGGCACTTCCCAGCCTGCAGTGCCTGGCACACAGTAGGTACTTAGTAGAAGTTTATTGTCTGATTAACAAAATACTCTCTTCCAGTCCAACGTGGAGCACCTGACGGAGAAAATGAAGACCACCATCCAGAGAGGCCTTGTGCTCAGGTGAGAGAGAGAGACCAGGGGCTGATCTTACCCTCACCGCCACACCCTGGTTCTTAGATTCTAGTCTGTGACTTGGGCTGGATGAGTGGTCATTTCTTTGCCGCTAGAGTGCACTACACACACTGAGCAGGTGCAGAAGACAGCTGTGGTGCATTGCTCTAAAGGCTTGCCTGCATTTAGACAACTAATATTTTTGCTTTATAGTCTCTTATTCTTTGATATCTTGCAATCATTTCCCTAATTAGCACCTGATGTTTATGAAGAAAGAAGGAAATACAGTCATCCCTCTTAGCCTCAGGGACTGTGTCCCAAGACTGCAGTGGGTGTCTGAACCTGGGGATAGTACCCGCCCCCTGTATACACGAGGTTGCTTCCATCTGATAACCAAGGTGGCTACTGAGTGACTCGGGCAGGAGGCACAGACAGCATGGAGATGCAGGGCACAGGGATGATTGACGTTCTGGGTGGGACAGCAAGAGAGCACGAGATTTCATCACGCTACTCAGAATGGTGTGCAATTTAAAACTTACATATTTATTTCTGGAATTTTCCATTTAATATTTGTGGGCCTCAGTTGACCACTGGACCATGGGTAACAAACTGCAGAAAGCAAAACCGTGAACTGGAGGGACTGGTGTTGATGTAGAATCACCATAGGGTTGGGGGATGCGGGAGTCCAGCCTCCCAGGGCCATCTCCCCAAGCAGGGAGCCACGTGCCCACTGCACGCTAAACAAAGTGACTCCTTCTCGCTCGTTTCAGAAATGAGAGCTGCAGTGAAAACTACACCACCGACTTCATTTACCAGCTGTATTCAGAAGAGGGCAAAGGCGTGTTTGACTGCAGGAAGAACGTGCTGGGTCACATGCAGCAGGTAGGCCCGAGACTGCATGAGGGGCCACAAAGCCCCTGTCATGTGACTTTTAAAAGATTAGTGTCTTATTTTAGCCATTGTGGGGAAAAATGTATAAGTAAATTCCAAGATGATAAAAAACATCTGAACTTTTTGAGACAGAGTCTTGCTCTGTTGCCCAGGCTGGAGTGCAGTGGTACAAGCTTGGCTCACTGCAACCTCCACCTTCCAGGTTCAAGTGATTCTCCTGCATCAGCCTCCCGAGGAGATGGCAGTATAGGCACCCACCACCACACCCAGCTAATTTTTGTATTTTTAGTAGAGATGGGGTTTCACCACGTTGGCCAGGCTGGTCTCAAACTCCTGACCTCAGATGATTCACCCACCTCAGCCTCCCAAAGTGGTGGGAATACAGGCCTGAGCCACTGTGCCCAGCCAAAACATCTGAACTTTTAAGTGATGCCAAACATCACCAGCTTTAGGATTCTTTTGTTGGTGAGGTTTGAGTAATGGGGATTTTAAGGGAACTGTCAGCTTTCATGAAAACAGTGATACCCCCATTACTTGGAAATGCTTATTCAAATTAAACACTTCATCAAGTTAAAAACTGGAGCTTCCCTAAGATTTAAAATGGATTATCAGACATGTAGTATACTTGACACCCCAAGTCAGAATGACCTGGAATGAGCTGCACACAGGCACACACGTGTTATGAGCTGAGCCTGGGACACAGGGTCCAGGCCTCCTAACTTGCACACACTCCTTCCTCACCACCTCCTATTCTTATACTTTTAAGCCAGAGCCCATGAATCCCCTGCAATGATGATGAAATAGTAGGCATATGTGTGATCTTCTTAAAGAATCCACAACGGTTATCAGATTAAAGCTGTGACCCATCCCCAGCTCAGATGAGTTCATGAAATCCTGATTTAAGATTTTAAAATAATGAAGATTGTTAGTTGACTTGTTCGGTTTATTAAAATCCTCATCTTACTGAGCGGGGGGAACACTTGATACTTTTTCTTAACAGGCCAAGTTCAGGCTACGGGAATCACAGGTTTTGTTCTGTTCCAACTATAAGGACCTAGAAATAAAAACATGAATTCTGCAAAATAGAAATTGTCATTTCTATTTAACAGCAAAGTGTTACTGTATAACTGGTATTTCATATAACTCTAACCACCAACAGGGTGGGGCACCCTCTCCATTTGATAGAAACTTTGGAACCAAAATCTCTGCCAGAGCTATGGAGTGGATCACTGCAAAACTCAAGGAGGCCCGGGGCAGAGGTAAGGGGTCTGGGGAGGGAGGCCACAGCCTCGTGATGCAGGCCGTCCTGCCTTGGTGAAAATGCTGTCCTATCGGGGAGAAGTAGGGTGCTGGTTCCTTCTTCAGTTCAGTACTGAGCTGCACGTGATGTTTTACTCCTGATCTCTGAGTGTTGCTATTTAACCAACCTTGGATTCCTGGGATAAGATCAGCTTGGGTATGACATGTTCTCTTTTATCACTGCTAGATGCAGTCTGCAGTTCTTTTGTGCAGGCTTTTTGCTCTAGAGATCCTGAACGTTGGCCAGCAATTTCCCCTCACAGTTTAAGTGGGGCCTTCTATTTTTTGAATGTTTGCTAGGACAACCTCCTTGTGACTATCCATCAAAACTTCCAGTTTTGAGGAAGATCTGACTGCTGAATGAATTGTTCATGTTTGTAGAACTGCATGTTCGTAGAACTGTGCATGTTCTTCCTTAAATCAGTTCTGTAAGTTACATATTCTAAGAAATCTTTAAACTGAAGTTTCAAGAAACATGACTTTTTTATAATACTCTTGTTAATGGCTCCAACATGGCTGTTCCCCACTCATTCCTGAGTGGCTCTTTGTGCCAGCATCTTTCTCACCCCCACCCCCCTCAGCTTTCTTAATCAGTCATAGCAGATGTGTGCTTTTATTCCGGCAAACCACTATCACTGCCAGTGTCCAACTTAGAAAAATGACAGTCTATAAAAACCAGTGATGTGAATAGTTTCAATGGGTTTGTCTTTTTGAAGAACTGACTTTGGCTTTGATTCTTTCTACAGCGATTTTCTTTTGCTAATTTAGCTATGGATGCTTTTTGCCTCTCAGTGTGTGTATGTGTGAGCATAAATTAGTGTCCTGTAATTTAAGCTAATTTCCCTATTCCACTATTTAGTGAAAAATTCTCTCCACTGGGAGGAAAAAACAAAAGCTGCTTTCCAGGAAGCCCTCGGGGCAGTCCCACAGGAGCAGAGCTGCACGAGGCCAGGTGCTGGCCCCACTGCGCGGCTGTTCTCAGTCTCACTGGGCTTCCAGGCCGGGTTCAGCATGGTTCTGAGGAATCTCAGTTCTCATCTCGCCCCGTGATTCTGCTCCCCCACCTGCCCATGTTGACAGGGTGTTATTAATCTTTTTTAAAATCTTTTATAGGAAAAAAATTTACCACCGATGATTCCATTTGTGTGCTGGGAATAAGCAAAAGAAACGTTATTTTTCAACCTGTGGCAGAGCTGAAGAAGCAAACGGATTTTGAGTAAGTTGGCTGGGTTCCCTGAGGCAATAAGACCCCAATGTGAGTACGGGACAGGGGAATGGCCATTGCTGTTGCTGTCGGCAACTCATTCAGGGGTTTGAGGAACTGGCTTTTCTGAAGCTCAGTTAAAAAAATACTAGGTCTTGGCTGGGCGCGGTGGCTCATGCCTATAATCCCAGCACTGTGGGAGGCCGAGACAGGTGGATCACAAGGTCAAGAGATCGAGACCAACCTGGCTCATATGGTGAAACCCCATCTCTACTAAAAATACAAAAATGAGCCAGGCATGGTGATGCACACCTGTAGTCCCAGCTACTCAGGAGGCTGAGGCAGGAGAAATCGCTTGAACCCGGGAGGCAGAGGTTGCAGTGAGCTGAGATTGCACCACTGTACTCAAGCCTGGCGACAGAGCGAGACTCCACCACTGGGTCTTCGGGAATAATTTTAAACAATGGTTTCATTTGATCCTGAAATTGGCTTTATCATCTAGTTGATTCAGCCGACCCTACAAACCCTGTGTTTCTGGCAAGACCGCTCGCTGTGCTGGCCAGGCGGAGGCATCTCCCGCCAGTGACTGCAGGCCTCACTGCTGTCTCCTCTTACCTCCACAGGCACAGGATTCCCAAAGAACAGTGGTGGCTCAAGCTACGGCCCCTCATGAAAATCCTGGCCAAGTACAAGGCCAGCTATGACGTGTCGGACTCAGGCCAGCTGGAACATGTGCAGCCCTGGAGTGTCTGACCCAGTCCCGCCTGCATGTGCCTGCAGCCACCGTGGACTGTCTGTTTTTGTAACACTTAAGTTATTTTATCAGCACTTTATGCACGTATTATTGACATTAATACCTAATCGGCGAGTGCCCATCTGCCCCACCTGCTCCAGTGCGTGCTGTCTGTGGAGTGTGTCTCATGCTTTCAGATGTGCATATGAGCAGAATTAATTAAACATTTGCCTATGACTCCAACAGTCCTCTGTTTTAGTTTTTTAAGTAGGAGATTAGTACCTCAATCTATGGGTGGCTACTAAAGGTTTTCTCAGTTTTGTGGGCAAAGATTAGCAAAATATTTTTATAGGGATCACTGAACTATGCACACGTCATACAAGGAGAACAAAGCCAGGAGTTCACACAGGCCAAGGGGAAGGCCACGTTTACTCACCATTCCATATCTGCCATGTGTCAGTTTCCATCCACAGCAGCAGGCCGGGACCCTGGGCCTCGACCCCAGGCTCCTGCTCTCCTTTGAAAGTAAAACATGAATCTTAGTTACTTGTCCTCTTGATTGCAATCCTAGCTGCATGTTAAAACCACCAAGGGGTGGGTGGGGCGGAGGTGGGTTCAAAAATCTGATAGCCAGCTTCTCCTCCAGGCCAAGCCACAGTCCTCGCTGGGACCTAGGTTGGAACTCTCCGGAAGACTCCTGCCAGAGTAGACACGGCTGCTGGGATGACAGCCCTGCTGCCCTGGTGGGCCCCCCTCCTGTAGGGACAGCGTTTCTGCCTCTTAGCTCTAGTCTGCAAGAGAGAACAGCTGCGCCTCAGAAATGGGGGCAGAGAGCTGGGTGGAGGGAGAGGAGAGGCCAAAAACAAACTCTGTTTGGGAAATCAGAGTCCGACAGCCAAGAAAGAGCTAGCGCGGAGGCTTTCCTTTCTGGCTCTGTAACGATGAAGCAAGCGCTTACTCACCCCAACCCACTTGCTTCTCAGGACGGTTTCCATGCAGCCGCCGCGGTGAACTCCCGTCTGGTGGACACTCCCCCAGGGCCTCGGTGTGATGGAGTTTCCTGAATCAGCGCAGGCAGACGTGGGACACCCTTGTGCACCTTTTCATTTTACTTCTGTTTTTAAATAAAGGCCCTAAATGCTGCTTAAAATAATGACTCAAGCAGAGGTTAAGTCAGAGTTGCCCTTTATTTTTAGATTCTTAAATATTCTAGAATGAGGTAAAACGAGCCTGCCAGTACAAAGTGAAAATTCTACATGGTGCATCTTTGGCGCTTCATGCATGATTATTTCAATGAACCTCTTCCTGGTCACTCTTAAGATAGATCTGAGTTTTTGACTCGCCAGTCAAGGGCTTTGGCGACACTCAATGACATAATATTCTTGGAAAAAGCAGTAGCATTTCTGACTTTTCATATTCAGCTCGGAGGTGTATTGTCTCGGGCTCCTGTGCAGTCGAGCGCCACGGCTGCTCATTGGATGATCCAGGATGGGTCCTTGGCAATTTTCGGGTTCTCGGGTCCGAGGATGGCCAGGCCGTGTGTGCTCTTCCCAGTGCCGAGGTATCTGAGAGGAAGGCAGGCGTGGTCAGCAAGGACTGGCTTCTGCGTGAGCGCTGTTAGAGTCAGCACGAGGGCTTCCAGTCCCAGACGCTGTCTCCCCCGCTCCCCACTCACCTATCGCTCACGGCCAGGAGCTTGTCGTGGCTGACAGCAAAGAGCTGCTCTCTGTGGGCCTGCTTCATCTCATCCGAGAGGCCGTACAAGAAGTGGTCCATTCCTAGAAGACAATCCACAGGCACGATGGAGCCGCTGCCCGGGAGCTCGCGTTGTGGGCTGTGCACTCATGTCCCGGAGGGGACACAGGCATCTCACTGTCATTTCACGTGCATGTTTCAACCACAGGGATGTGTCTAACAACCCAGAGATCACACCCCGACCTCCAGCTCCCACGTGCCACGCTGACCCCTACCCACGCCTGCTTCTGCAGCAGGGATGCAGTCAGCGCCGCGTGAGGCTGATGATGCTGTGAGCAAAAGCGGCTCCAGAGAGTAACGTGGCCATGCCCGGGCCGTGCCCACGTCCTCCTTCCACCCTAAAGAGCCCGGACACTGCCATGGGTTGGCCCCACTGGGTCTCAGGTCAGTAAAACAAATGACAGGATGCACTCTTCTCGCCCGGATGTCAGGAAGCGTGTTTAGGGTGTCAGACGTGGAAATCGTATCACAAGCAAGGATGGAGGCACCAGAAGCTAGTGCTCCTGCCCATGCATGCCGGGAACTTGGAAAACAGCAACGTCATCTGTGAGGCTGTGGGTTGAGATTCTCACTGTTATACTCAAAATACCTTTGTCTGAAGGAGCGACAGGAGCATCTACGGTTGAGAAGACAGAAAGTTTGGCTTCGTCGATGTCTTGCTGTGTGAATTTTCCAGACTTAGCCCAGTCGACAGCCTTCCCAAAAGACTGGAGCGTCTCTATTGTATTTGGGTCCCTAGGAAACCCAGAGAAATAAACGGGCAAGCATTTTACCAGTGGACAAGTTTATGACAAACCTCTGTCGACTTAACAGTTCAACATCTTCTATGGGTTAACAGCTCTATTTTATATCTGATTTAGTCCAAACAGCCCACTGACAAATCGCTCAATTACTCTCAATGGAAATTTAAATCTGATCACATAAGCCTTTCAACATGTTCTCCCTCTTAGACAAGGTCTGTCTGCACAAAGTCCTCCCTAGATTATTTAAATACACTTCTCTGTGACCTCATCAGGAGAGGAAAGTCAGTGGAGGGTAGGGGCAGGTCAGGATTACAGGGAAATTACAAAGACTTACATGGAAAAATTAAGCAAACAAAGGTTTTCCTTTCATCTCCCTGAAGACACACCCAGGGTAGTACAGGAATCAGCCTGAGGGGGCCAATCCAGACTTCCCTTCGTGTAAATGCAAAGAGCCCAGCCCTCCCTTCACCCTGAGCTGCAGAGGGGCGGCTGTGAGCTGCTTCCCCATCCTTGTCTAGAAGCATGGCTTCCAGCACAGCAAGGGGGAGAACTCATCAGAGTGGCAATGGCTACCTACGTATCTACCTACATGCCTGCCTACCTACCTAATCTAGCTATGCATCCACGGGACAGGGTCTCACTGTCGCCCAGGCTGGTGTGCAGTGGCGCAATCTGCTCACTGCAGTTTCAACCTCCCCAGGCTCAAGGGATCCTCCCGCCTTAGCCTCCTGTAGCTAGGACCACAGGCACTTGCCACTGCGGCCGGCTGGCTCCTTCTTAAAAACTGTTGGAATACATGTTCTCTTAGGCAGCAAAGCCATAGAAAATCAAGAATATTGCTTTACAGTAACGGTGTTATGTTTATGAAAGCTAACAGAACTGCATCCACATCAGGCACCTCCAACTGAAATGAGCTAAGAACGCTCTCAGGCTGTATCAGCCCCCTCACCTGGGGCCTGTGTTTCAGGACCCCCACGGCAGGGCTGCAACCTCAGACAGCCACTATGGATACTATGTTTTTTTCCTATACCTATGATAAAGTTTATAGATTAGGTGCAGCAAGATATTAACAAAATACAACAATTATACTGTAATAAAAGTTACGCTGATGGGCTACTATTAAGTAAAACAAGGGTTCTGTGAACAGAAGCTCTTGGATACCCACAGCGTATCTGATACCTAGACGGCTACTGGGTGACCAACAGGCAGGTACCGTAGACAGCGTCAGCTTTCATCCCACTGCTTAGAAGAATGGTGTACAATTTAAAACTTAGGAAGTGTTTATGTCTGGAATTTTCCATTTAATATTTTCAGACCGAGGGGGACTGTGGGTAATAAACCATGGAAGGCAAACCCACGGATGGAGGCACTACCGTGTTCTGCCAAAATATGCTGGCTGAAGCCAGGGTTTACTGAAGGCAGAATGCTTCCTGTTTCGGCTGCTGGCCCTAATCCTCGCGCCAGAAAGGACATTGCTGGGTGTGGCTAAGTGCCCAAGGAGTGAAAAGAAGCACACAGAACAACTTTTGTCTAAAATTCACTGCAGTAGAAGAAAATGACACTGATAATCATGAGTAGAAGACTAAAACGACGTGTGCATCCCAATGTGTGAACTAGAGCAAAACTCACCTGTAAGAGTAAAGGGTGAAAATCCCATTGTGGCTGAGTTTTGCGCCTCCACCATAAGCACCGCCTTTTTCTCGAATTTCTGTATGCAAGAATTTGGCAGTCATCAAACGTGCAAGGATTTTAAGACTGAAATGATTAAAAAATGCAAGTTAATACCGTGGCTGATAAAAAAGCATAGACAATGAAGTAATTGTTGGATTAAGTGAAAATGAAAATCGAGTTGTAAAATAATGCTGCATAAATTATGGTCCCATATTTTGGTCTTGTTTTTTAAGAGATGGGGTCTCGCTCTGTCGCCAGGCTGGAGTGCATTAGTGCAATCACAGCTCACTGCAGCTTTGAACTCCTGGGCTCAAGGGATCCTCCCACAACAGCCTCCTGAGTAGCTGGGCCTACAGGTGTGTGCCACCACGCCTGACTATTTTTACAGTTTTTGTAGAGGCAGGGTCTAGCTTTGTTGCCCAGGCTGGTCTCAAACACCTGGCTTCAAGTGATCCTCCTGCCTTCAAAGTGCTGAGCTTACAGGCATGAGATTTTCTTTTCAATTAACCAAAACTAAAAAGCACAAGGAAGCACAATTTTCAAACAGTTGGCTTAGATTACAGGGTTGAAGGGAGAGGTGGTGGGGAGGGAATCTTAACACTTCCAGCACCACACTGCTTAACTTGTTCCAATGCACATGTGGCATTTTTAAAATCTCGTGAAGTAGAAAGAGGTTATTTCTATTATAAAGGCAAATGAGCAAATGAACATTTATTTAAATGTCTCACATCAGAATATGGAAAGAAAGGAAACTGAAGTGAGTTTTATAAGAATCCCTTAAGAAAACACACACTCTCTGATAAAGCACATTTCTAGGAACAGGGCCAATTTCCTCTGCCTTCCACTGTGAACGGTAACATCACATTCAAGCTGATTCTAGAACACATCCACCTCCGACAGAAGGCGGGGCAGACAATGATGGGAGGGTCTGCAGCACAGACACAGGCTCCTTGAAGACGCCCGTGGTGAGATCAGCCCCAGGTCGCCGCTTCCACAGACAGGCCTTTTCCTAAAGTGGATGAAGGGAGTCAAATAGGCCAGGTGGGAAATCAAGGAAGGAGTGGGCGTGTTCCCAGGGGCTGTGGTGGGAGAAGTCACGACCATCTCGTGTGGGTCCTCCAGGAGAAACCCAGCGCCACTCGGGTGGCTGGGGCGCCGTCAGCCGGGACTAGCGAGGCTGGAGTCAGACCCTGGGGGACGGAGTCTCCACCAGCACCGGCAGGGATGGCGTTCCATCCGTCCACACATTATCCTTCCTGAGAAATTTCTATTACTTGTATATTAAAAACATGCTCACTTTTGAAAGATTATAAAATACAAAACACAAGGAAAAAAAGATCTGGAATCCCACTGCCCAGGGGGAACCTCCACATTTTTAGTGTTTTCTGTCTACATTTTCCTGTTGGATAGTGGAAACAGACACCACTCTTCTGCCGGCATAGCAGACAGATCTGTTCATCTTCTACAAATATGGAAATAAATGAACAAAACAGCTGACCACATACTTCTACAGCCAGCTCTTTCTGGGCCCCCACTGCAGCCCCACGTTTCTTCCCGCCTGCCTCCTACACACCTCCCCATCTGTGACCCTCTGTGACACACGTGCACCTCGGAGGCCCGGCTCCTTCTCCAATCAGGACAGGCTGCCCAGGCCTAAGCCTGCCTTCCCCCTCTCTACCAGGCTCACTCCTTGGTTTAGTCCCTCATGGGGGTAGCTGCCTGGGACAAGGACACAGGAAGTGAATTTCCGGGATATAACATGTTTGCACATATCTGTGTCATACACACCCAACTGACGGGTCCCCAAAGGTGCACGTCTGTGAGTCTGTCCTGGTCTGGCCAGTTTCCCCAGATGGGATGAACACAGCCAAGGGGCAGCCAGAGTTCGGAAGAAGGGGCTGGAGGGCCAGTCTGTAGGCTGCAAACTCCCTCGCCCCACGCCACTTTGGGAACAGGCCTGACCCTGACTCTTGGCTGTGGCTTCGGCTGCTCAACCCAGGGCCTCCTTCCCTGAGCTTCTGACTTGGTGGGGAGACAGGGGAGACAAACTCCTTAGAGGGACTGTGAGGCGGCCTCCAGCCCTGCCATCTGCAGGGCTCTGCAGGACCACCTGGTTTCTCCCCACTGCCCTGTCCCTCTGTGGCCCCAGGTCAGGCACCCCCCACCCACCCAGAGTCTGGCTCACGAGGTTCTCCTGCAGCCCCCATGGCTCTCCGGGTCACCTCCCACTCTTTCCCTTGTAGCTTCGTGTCTTGATCTGCCTTTGCTGTCATTCACGCATCTGTCCTCATGAAGGCTTAACCTACCATGTTTATCAGAAATCTCAGCCTAAATTCATTCGATTTTTACCTAGAGATGAGGTGAGTACATGGGGCATGTTGAAAGCAGTCTGTGTTTAAGGTCATAGGTATCTGTATTGTTCATAGGACTCCTCAATAATAGAAATTGTTTACAAAAATGACTGGCTCTAAAACTGGGTCTCTGTTCACAAAGACTGCTGGTTAAAGAGGAGCACTCGTAGACTCACACAGCCCCAGGTCCAACACTCAGAGTCAGCACAGACTTTTCCTGTGCTAAAACACGCCCTGTGAACTCGAACAGCCTTGACAAGCTCTTCCGTAAGGCTCAGGCCTGAGAGGTCCCGACCTACACCCTCCTACCTGGCATGATCTGGGTCCGTGTAGGGGACAGTTCGGATGCATTCACCCACGTAATTCACCGGGAAGGGCATCAGGAAGTGAGTCTTCATCTGCCAGGGCTTGAAGGTGGGTTCCTGAGGGACACGGTATGGTCAGAGGCGGCTGTGCTGCCATGCACCGCCCACGGCACTGGGACTGGACCCACTCAGGGGTCAGAGGCGGCTGTGCTCCCACGCACTGCCCACGGCACTGGGACTGGAGCCATCTCAGGGGTCCCATCTCCGTGACACTCTGCAGCCAGGTGCTGGGGCGCGAGAGCAAGGCACTGCAGTTCCGTCACTCCACACAATTTCTCACTGTAAAACTGACATGAAGTCCTCCAATCTTGACGTGATGCCTTAACGTATACTGTTCAATTAAAAACATTTCATTCTACGCCGTTTATATCACAGTTACATATTTATATTTCATATCATATTATATCATAGGAATGTGTTAAATCACTCTACTCCACAAGGAACCAAACCAAACAGCATCAGCACCAGGCTGAGTCGCGGAAAGGATCTGTCAGACCGCTCCACTGGCATCGACTCAGCTCGGGAGCTACGTTCAAAGAAGGGTGAGTTGCCCGGGAGGAGACCACCCAGAGCAGTAGCCCTCTTCCTGGGCACAGGGAAGACGCACCCCATACCAGGGCCCTCCTCGGCACAGGAGGACACACCCCCACCAGGGCCTTCACTCAGTACTGTCTGAGAGAGAAAAGGCTCAGGGTGGCAGTGACAAAGGATGCACTGAACTCGCAACTCTAGGGACACGCCAGCCCCACAGACAGGCGGACGGAGGAACATTCGAACATCAGTGGCAGACACAGCCATGCAGGGAAGCACCCACCCGCTGGCAACCCGGATGGGCTGTGGTTCTTACCATGACCAGCTTCCTAATGACCTGGGAGCCATGGGGAACGTGGGCATCTCCACCAGAGCTGCTGGGCACAGGTTTCTGAAAATCAAGTTTCCAAGAGAAAAGAGAAAAATCCAGAACTCACTTGAAATATATAAGAAGTAACAGAGTTTATAAAATTCACACAGCTAATAACAAGTGTTAGGGCAGGTGTAAGTGTTTTAAATAATAAACGCTTAAAAAAAATAAAAATAGGCTGGGCAGAGTGGCTCATGCCTATAATGCCAGCACTTTGGAGGCTGAGGTGGGAGGATTGCTTGGGTCCAGGAGTCTGAGACCAGCCTGGGCAATGTAGTGAGCTCCCATCTCAACAAAAAATTTTTAAAAATTAGCTGGGCATGGTGGTGCACACCTGTAGCCCCAGCTACTTGGGAGGCTGAGATTGGAGGATCACTTGAGCCCAGGAGGTCACGGCTACAGCTAGTTGTAATGGCACCACTGCACTCCAGCCCGAGTGCCAGAGACAGACCCTGTCTCAAAATAACAAAAACTAAAAAAAGAAATAAAGTGAGTAAAAGAAATTAAGAAAATATTAAAATAAATTTTCAGACAGTCAAGGAAAAGGTAGCCTTGTTATATGGTACAAAGAAAATATTTTAACCTTTCTTTCTGCACTTTCTTGTCATTAATCTGTCAAATCAAGAGGACATTTAAGGTGAAAGGGTTGCAGGCAGAGGGGCCTGGAGCAGCAGGAGGCCACCTCCCAAAGGCTCCACTCCCAGGGGCCAACAGAGAGACCACATCCAGAATTGAACCAGGGATACGCAGACACCAACGGAGAAGACATGAGCGTCAACCTCCTCCACGGAGCAGCACGGCTTCTCTACTGACATCCATGAACTAGACTACAACTCTCTAAGTTAATCAAATTTACTAAGTTAGTTATCACCGACATCACTGTTCCATGTCAAATCCATGGATTCATGAGTCAAAGAAACAGCAGTGAACAGCCTTCAGGCTACGGTTTGGGCCATTCCTCTGCCAGCGTATTCCAGCCAAAGTCTGTTTTCCTATCAGACTACTCACTGCAAGGCACAGAAGTGAGCGCGGGATCTAAGGCCACACCGCAGGGTCTGAACTCACTTAACTGGCCCAACACTGCACAAGATACTTAATCCTCCTGAACCTCAGTTTCTTCATCTGCGTACGGGGGATATGAACCCCCACATGCTGGACTGCTCTGAGAATTGAGTTAATGCGTGTAAAACATGAGAGCTGCTCTGGCACCCACCAGGCGCTCACCGGGCGCCAGCACCACCAGTGCATACCTCGACCGTGTGTGGGCGCACAGGCCTCCGTTCCTTTTTACTCCGACCGATGCTTCTAAGGAAGTCTTCGACCGCTTTTTCTGTCTGAGGCATCTGCTGAGGAGTCGCATTCACTGAACACCTGTTTGAAAAATTATGTATACATAAAACCACTGTTAGAAAAAACAGTTTTAGTAATTCATCACATTTTGTATAACTCAATAATGTTGTTTTTATAGAAAATACTGTTCAGAGTGTTAAACAGCAGCCAAATGTGGAAATGCCACGGCCGCCTCCCTGCTCTTCAGTGCTTCAGGTTATCAAGAGATTTCCGCACAGTTCAATGTGGCAGCTAATGAAGCCGTCCATACGCGGAGCCTGTGACTCTAAACTCTAGTTCTTCTGAAGAGCAAAGAAAATACAGAGACTATTAAGATCTGCTAACCGTGCCTTCGGAATTACACTATCAAAACACTGACAACTTTTAAAATTACTGTCCAGAAGTCATCAATTTGAAAATGTGAACTGGTTGTTAAAGCAGAACATTATAAACTGCAAAAAAATACCATGCTCTCAAAGTTACATGAAAATAGAACTCTTCCAAATTCCACAGAATTGCAAATACTACTATCATATAAAAGCTACTTGAACTCTACAGTATATTGACAGAGTGTATATTTTTTCCTTTCAGCTGTAAATCCTGAACTTATTCTAGTTAAAGTAACAGCAGGTACCATTATATTAATACTAACTATATCCCAGGCATGTATGCTGCCTTGCAGATATTCTTTCTTTTATTCCTTACGATAAACCTGCAAAGGAAGGTTTTATGGAGGAGGAAGCAGAAGACGCAAGTGGGTCAGCTGCCCAGGACCGCCTGGGAGCGAGTGTGAGTGCTGACCCGGCGGCACCAGAAGCCAGGCCTGCCTGAGCCCAATGCCAAGAGACCCTGATCGCCAGGCTTCACCTCTGGCCACCCACAGACCGCCCTGTAGAATCTGCCAGGGATTCTCAGGACATGACTGGGGAAAGGCATCAGGACTCTGTGTGAAGAAGGACAAGTGACTTCAGCAAACATTTTCTTGTTAAGTACTGATGAATACATCAATGTCACTGACAATAAGATGCTGAAAATAAACAATCATTTTTAAACTTTATTCATGCTCACACATCTGAGGGCATAAGGCCAACTGAAGGTATAGGACTGAGCTGCCAGATGTTTCCTCAAAGCATCACATAATTTTATAAGAAACTGCACTTTTACTCTGGTCTTCAGCAAGCTCACCTTTACAGATACCTCAGTTACGGACCATGTGCTTTTGGAAGCAATATAACTACTTGCCCTCAATCTATTTGCACTTCTAGCACAAAATTAGCCTGCTTTCTTCCCCATCTCCTACAACTTTTAATAGGCTTAAAATATTTTCTTAGTTTGTTAGAACACTTGACATTTACAATAAATTCTATAACCTTTACCAAGCACTCTATCTTGAAGTTTCTACAAGTAAGAAATACCTAAAAACTATACTTAATAGAATGAATCATAAAATATTTAGAAACAAATCACACATGCACCTCATATTATCACCATTTAACAAGTGTTTCTTGATACGCGGGAGCTTCCTCAGGATGGGTTTGATATCTGTCATTTCTGCAATCCTCTTCATCAGCCGCACCTAAGCCAGAGGAAACTCGCTCAGAGAGAGGCAGAGGCTACAACAGACCCGCTGAGTCTGAACCAAGCACCTGTGACATCAGAACCCTGCTTGGGCAGGGGTTATGTGTGCGAGTGCACGGCTTGGGCAGGGCTGGAACTGGGATGCAGGGTGGTACAAAGAGGAAGATGAGTCAAAACCAACCAACCAATTCTTCCCCATATTTAGTCAGTTAGAAAGTTAGCATTTCTGGGACATAAATTAATGTATTCCCAAAGAAATTAGTAACTCTGGAATATGTGGCTAAACCGGAGTAATAGAGGTTCCTTCCAAGCTTCCCACCTGATCCATCCCGCTGAAGGTCTCCTGCAGGTCCCCTGCGGGCGTGAGGGTCCGGCCTGCCCTGATGGATGCGTACAGGTGCCCAGAGTCAGGAATTCCATTGGCGAGCTCCTGGGCGGTCATCTTCACCAGCACCTTGAAGTGCTCCTCTTCTTCAAAGCACGGGCTATGGAAAAAGGAGAAGAAAAAATTCCTGGAGACCCATTCCTCACGTCCCTTCAGTATCATGGAAAGTTGATTAAGTTTTCAGAGTACTTTAACAACCAAAGAAATTTTATAAGTCCATATGAACTACAAGTAAAAGTCAGACTTGGAAAACAACAACACACACGAGTAAAACTGTCTCCTTTAAAGTACTTCAAACAAAGATCTCTAGTACACCCCAAGAATGGACAACTCTTGCAAATAAAGTTACTTGTTAAATATTTCACTCCATAGCTGCATCATGTCTGGCAGGTTTCGATCCAGGCAGAGAGAGGAGAAAAGCACACCCTGAACCAAAGAAAACACAGAAGAAAGGAATTAGGGCCGAATCGAACAGTGACAGACACTGGAGAAAAGCTTCCCACCGCAGCAGTCGTCTGACGGTACCAGGCTACCTGCTCGTAGGTGTCCATGTGTGAGTCGTCGGGGAGCACGTGGGGAGAAGCACTCATCCCTCCGGTCTTCAATTCTATCTGCTGAGCCTGCTCCCGGTAGTCAAGAAGGCCGCAGCCCAGCCTGACACAGCAGAGAAGCATCGCCCCGATTACAAGTCAGTCTTTACTGAATCATTTTTAAAATCGTGCATCTTGAGTTACAAGTTGCTTCCATTAATTCAATAACTGCGGCTTTGCCAACCTCTCTACACTTCGAAGGTCATAAGCAGGTGCACTCTGGCCTTCGCCCTCGAGAGTTCATGTGCCCCCTTCCCCAGGGAGACCCCAGTTTCTCCCGCCTAGGAAGTTAGCGTCCAGAGGCACAAGACACTTGGGCAGCCAGTGTCTGCACTTAAAACACCATTCTAAAATAGGCATTTCCAGTTGTAAGCTCTTCAATAAATGTTTTATGACTACTCCCTACTCTCTTCACCCAGATCACCGTGATACATACTTCCTTTGTTTTGCTCGAATGTCTGGTAGCCTGGGCGGGGGAGTCCGAAGACTAAAGGTTTTTTAAGTTTTTAAGAAAAGCAGTTTCCTCTCAGCACTCATGCTTTTGAAAGAAACATTCACAGTGACACTGCTAATGCCAGCAATAATTGAGTCAAGGGAATGACCATGAGGTGTTTTCTAAACCGCTACAAAAGGATGAACAGTGGCAGCTATATTTAAAAAGAAAGGCAGGGAACCTTCAAAACCCTGAAGACATTTTTCCATCTGAGCGGACCCTCAGCCAGGGTGCAGAAGGTGTCACAGCCACATAGCTTTCTGCAGCATGCAGACAACTTCATCTCCACAAAGGGAAGACCCCAGCTGCATGTCAGGTTGGGCAGTGGTCCCTGAAGCTGGCTGCAGGGTTCCCTGTCGCCCTATTATTCTGGATGGGAACAGGAGCCCACAGCCCTGTCTACTGCTTGTCCTGCAACCTCGGCCACGGCAGAGCTGGGCAAAAAGTCAAGTGTTGATGTGTGCACTCGTGTGTGTGTTTCCAGATCTGTGCACACCCCACCTAGGGAGGACGACAGCAACTGCAGGGTCGGCTTGGAGGAGGAGCCACGCACGCAGCAGGCACACCTGTTCCTAAGGCAGCCCCAGGCCACACTGCACATCCAATTACTTACATTTTCGGATTAAACCATCAATCCTTTCCAAAGCTTCATAGGCTGAGATGGAGATCTATAAGTATCTCCTTATATTATACCGTAGATTCATAACTATTTCAATGTAATATAGTAAGAAAATGTTACTTTCATAAAAAATTCTAAACCAATATATTGTACACCATACTTACACACTAACATTGTAAGTTGTGATTCACTGAAGGTAATTCCTACTGATGCATTAGAATACAGATATGCACACAAAGCAGACATTAATAAGACACACAAGGGTATGTTGCGACTCGTACTTGGTGAGGACGCTGCAGAAGAGGGGCACATAGGGCCTCAGCTCCTCGGGGAGTGTGTTCAGGCTGGAGAAGGCCCGGAAATACACCATGCCATTGGTGGGCTGGGCGCAGTACTGAACAGGGATATCTCCAGCTAGAAAAACAAAAGGGATTTAATTTTTATTGCTGCCAGTAAAATTCTAACCACTTGTAATATTTAAAAACAATGCTATTTATTGTTTTTTCAAGAATGGAGGTTTAAGACTTATACTAGAGTTTATATAAATTTCCCAATCATATTTTCATGACTAAAAACTGGAACTGTCTTCAATAGTAAAGCAACCCGTGCTCTCCAAGGAATGGGAACGGAAGGATGGAACCACGAACTTCTGGTCTCATAACTGCGAGTTCCAGTTACCCAACCTCTCCCCGTCAACCAGAGGGAACTCTGACCAGGTGCCCCCGAGACCCCTGGGCCCACATCGCACCCGTCCTCAGCGCTGCTCATCTTCCCCAACAGGCCCTGCCACCCTCTGGCCCCACAACAGAAGGCTGCCCCAGGGCCCCAAACAAGGCTCCTGGTGTCCCCCACCCACCCATCCTGACCTCAAGGGGAGGGCTGGACATTCAGCTTCATATGTCCCTACCTAGCAGAGCACCCTAGACCAGCGGAGGGACCAAGGTGCGGAAGGATGACTGATTTATTCTCACTCTTAGCAAACACTTAATGAGATTCACGGACAAAAACTGCCAGGGTTAACAGATCAGAGAGATGTCAGCCTCGAGTTCCACTCACATGCGCCCACACACACACACACATGAAAATAAATGAGATACAAACATGACAAGCGCTGTCAGAAGACAAAAGGTGGGCTGGAGACGCTTCACAGGACACAGGGATGCCCAGGGTGAAATCCCATCCCCGTCCTCAAGGTGCAAGTGAGAGCCATGCTGCCCTCAGCTCAGTCACGTCCGGCCACACCCGCTGGTAAGCTCAGCATCAACACTGTCGCAGGTGAGGTTACCCCAAAGGTGCCTCTCCTGCTACTAGCCAGGAGCCAGAGAGAAAGGGGGCACCCTGAGAACTCAAAAGCAGTGACAGACCACGTGACAAAAAGTACCACGGAACAAAAGGTGCCATGGAATGAAACGTGTCACGGAACAAAACGTGCCAAGGAACGAAATGCCAGGACACGGCAGGGGGATAAACCTGGTCTCCAACTTCCTTTCAACTCAGCACTCAGCTTTCTGGGGGCTCTCGTCCCTCTGCTTCCTCTATGCTGATGGCAGGGTAAACATTAGGAAAAAGGGCTCTGAGGACGCCTCGATTTTTAAAACTGCGCTTCACACAGTCACAGCGTAACCCAAATCCTCATTTGATTCTAGAAGCAGGAAATCAGAGCGCCCTATCAAACCCCTCTCAGGAACACACACACACACGGGCTCTTACTGAGTGAAGGAGTCTATCACCACCGAGAGTTAAGAACAAGGCAGAAGAATCGTGTAGAGCGAGACTATGAACGCACAGGGCTGCTCAAGTGTTTCAGGGAAAACCTCCAAGACATGACTCTACTGCTTCTGTGAGGAGTGACATTTAATTCCCCCAAGGAACCCGAGACCCGGGAAAAGCGTAGCGTTCACAGTGACCTGTCAGGACCACGTCCAACTCTGTGACAGGTATGGTGGGTTCAATATCGGAAACTTTCAACGCTGGCAGACAAGAGGCATCTTGAGGTTTGCTTTGTTGACTCCGTAATTCTAGACCTAAAAAAGAAACAAGAAAAAGGAATATTCAGGGCCATAATTAAAAGGTTTGATGCAACTTGTCTCCTATGTTATTATCTTAACATCCAGAATTAGCCGTCCACGCCAAGTGTGGGGAGTACAGGAGCACTGTGGTTTGCAAAGTATCTCCTATTTCCAGGCTGACCATATTTAGACGCACTAATAACCTGCTTAGTGGGTAGCCCTTTTCCTAATTCTCATTTTCAATTATTAAGGAATTCTGCTAGGAAGTGGTGGTTTGCTCAAGCAGCTTCTCCTGCACCCCTCCAAAGTTTACATTAAATAGATTCAACTTGTTTTTAGAGTTTTCAAACCATTTCTTGATGGACTGAAATTTAGTGATCTTTATACTTATCTTCTTTTTGTTTTGAGACAGGGTCTGGCTCTGTCACCCAGGCTGGAGTACAGTGGCACCATCTCAGCTCACTGCAGCCTCTGCCTCCTGGGCTCAAGTGATCCTTCTGCCTTAGCCTCCTACGTGGCTGGGACTAGGGGTGCAGACCACCATACCTGGCTGATTTCTGTTTATTTTTATTTTTTTTTTGTAGAGACGAGGTTTTGCCATGTTGCCCAGGCTGTCTCAAACTCTTGACCTCAAGTGATCCTCCCACCTTGGCCTCCCAAAGTGCTGGGATTCCAGGCATGAGTCACTGCACCTGGCCCTATACTTGTTTTCTATTGTTTCATTTTCACTAATTTCAGCAAAAGACTTACACAAGCACATAAATCACACAAATTACAGTGGTGCTTAGAAAGACACTTCCTGGGCCTGACAGTGCATGCATCAATGAGGGAGGCAGCACCTTCACAGCAGACTCCTCCACTGAGCCACAGCCCATGTGGAGAATCCAGAAGACCCAGGCGTGCTCCCCGCCCTGATGGCCATCAGTGAAGCGGCTTCACAGTGCTACACCGAGCCAAGCAAGTATACAAATGCATGATTCCACGACTCCCGGGGAGGGCTGTGCCCAGTTCCCACTTTAACTCAGTCCCCGCAGACAGCACTCCTGGTGTCTGCTGGGCTGACCTCCCCCATGTTCCATTTCCACCTTCTGAAGTTCCCCGAGAGCGTGCCACGCACTTAGACACGGGACCTTGGGGCGCAGTGAGCATCTCAGGCAGTGTCATCCCTCCACAGGTGCCCCACTGTGGGCTCCAGCCCTTCTGTCCACCTCTGGAGCCGCAACTGCCATCAATAACCACCCCTGCTCCCAGCAGCATGTGGAGCCCAGGCTCCCAATGGCACGGAGCTCAGACCTGGGCTCTGCAGGCTTCCCCTGCCTGCTTGCCACCTACCTAACATCCTGACTTTCCCGACCTCACGCCACTCGGAGATTTTCTAATCTGTGGCTTTGCCACAAAGCTCCCTCCTGCCTCTTCCCTGACCCGGTTTCCCCCGTGGTCCCTGGGCCCACCTGCGCTAGAGCACGCCACAGCTACCCTGACATCCAGGGCTCCTTCTCTGAATGCACTCACTCACAGTTGGTAGAAAAAGCCTCTGGCACTTTCTCTTCTCTGTTTTCTTTCAGCACATCACACACTCCCTGATGGTGGAGGCTTTACCCCTTCACAGTGCTTAAGACACACACAAGACCAGAAATCGGAAGATTCAAGCTTTTACTACATAGTTTCCCATTCCCCTTTTCTGCATTGTTGTTCTCTACAGATTGGCTTTTAATTCACAGAACCCTAACACTGCCATGCACACTTGAAGACTTACTGACCTGAAATAACCATTCAATGCACTAGCACTGTGCCCTCCTTTCAAAGAGCTACACAGCGAGTGTGTAAAGGAGAAATCTGTAGTGTGAGCACTGCTCATTAACCTACTGGTTTGGACTACAGTATACGGGGTTTTCTTAAAGCACAGCTCTGAGGCCAGGCCACGAATATGAAGTAATTTAGGAAACGTACAACCTGTTGCCTACTCATGGAATTATCTTGTGTAGTCATGAATAATTTCAATTAAAAGCGGGAAGATTGGAGCTTGTCACAAAACAGAGCTTAATAAGGGGGGAAAAAGAGTAAGGTTAAAAAATAGAGCTTAAAACAGTTGTCTCTAGTCTCCACTAAAAATACAAAAAATCAGCTGGGCGTGGTGGTGGGCATCTGTAGTCTCAGCTACTTGGGAGGCTGAGGCGAGAAAATGACGTGAATCCGGGAGGGGGAGCTTGCAGTGAGCCGAGATCGTGCCACTGCACTCCAGCCTGGGTGACAAGGCGAGACTCCGTCTCAAAAAAAAAACCAAAAAAACAACAAAAAAAAACCAGTTGTCTCTAAACAAGAATTCAGATAGCAAGAGTAAGAGCAGGTTACAAACTGACATTAATTTTTCTTTTACATGATGTAACTTCAAACTTAGCATGATCAAAATGGAGTCACTTACTTTCCACCTAACGTCCACTCTTACCTCCTGACAAGCCTGACAATTTCTCACAGAATCCCAGCCCAATTAGCTTTTTTAATAGGAAAAGTAAGTGCATGTGTGTATGTGTTGCATCTATTTTTAAAAGACTTAATACATAACTTACAAGCAATAATATTCACAATTTTAAAGACTCAACTGAGTTCTGACAACTGTGGCAAGCTATGAAGCCACCACATCATAGTACTGGGCCTTTCTAGCACCCCAAAACTCTCCCATCCCCACTGCAGTCAACCACACCCCGACTGGGCCTCCAGCAGCTTCTCATCTGCTCTCTGTCCCTGCAGCTTTGCCACATCTAGGCTTCCCATGAATGGCCTCAGGATGTCATCTGGCACCCGGCTTCTTTCCCTTTGTGGGAAGCTTCGAGATGCACCAATACCAAGCGTGCATCATTGTTGCGCTCCTTCACAGCTAGTGGCATTTCTTTGTAAGGATGTATATGTTGATGGAAATCTGGGTTGTTTCAAGCTTTGTGCGGACGCCTGTTTTCATTTCTCTTGAAGGAACGTTAGGAGCGGGGCTTTCCTGGTCCGTGCATGTTGGCTGGCACTGTGAGAACTGTGACCCCGTTTCCTAGGTGGCCACACCATTTTGGCTCCTTTGGCAGCATGTGAGCATTCCCCCTGCCTCTCAGGATTGATGGCATTTGGTGCTGGCAGTAATTTTTAAAATGTTAGTCATTCTAGTAGGTGTATAATTGTATATCACTGTAGTTTTAATCTGCATTTTTCTAATAATTATGATACATTTCCCTAAGAAAGTAATGAGATTATTTCCCATGTAATGATTTATGTGCCTATTTGCCATTAGGAACTCTTAGATGATATCTGTCAAAATCTTTTACCCATGTGTTAATTGGGTTGTGTGTTCTCATTACTGAATTGTTCGTTTTTCGTATATTCTGAATACAGGCCTTTATCAGACACCATTTTTGCAAATGTTTTTTCCCAGAGGCCAAACTACCTTTGAGAATCCATTTGGGTCCCCTTCTCTCCCGTGGCCTCCTCCCTTCCTTCGTTCCACCCGGCTGCTCCCCCAGCGGCTGCCAATCCCCGTCTCACTTTTCTTTTCACTCCCACCATCCTGGCCTAGGTCGTCATGTCATGCTTAGGTGTCTAATTGCCTCTCAGCAGTTTTCTCCATCCAATTTCTCTATTTTTCTGCAAAACTATCCTGAATGAGGCTGCAGCTACACTGCTCACTGACCCGACAGTTCTCCTGCCTTAATACATGAAGCACCCGTGTGCTCCCCATCTTCCATACAGGCCCTCCCCAGAGCCACAGGGCACACCTGTCTCCCCCACACACGCTGTCCTCCCTCCATGCCCACCGCTCCACCATCCCTGTGTGCCTCACGCCTGTCCCACAGAATCCTGGTGCTGCTCTGTGGCTGGCACACACCCGGTATGCCTGAGACAGGCCTCTTCCCAACACACAGCTCTCAACTGTCCACTCTGCTCACAGGCCAGGCAACACGCACTGCAGCAGAACAATGGTACTGGCATATTACGGCACCTGATAAAAGTATTTACAAAATCTGTAAAATAAATACATCTTTTCAAGCTACTTCTTTTCAATGACTCCTGCGTTTCCTACTGAGCTACACGGGCGATTTTCTGAGAATATCTGAACTCAATGCATCGAACGTGAGCTCTGTTGGCGCCCAGCGGACACCTGTTGGTTGAAATAATACCTGCCTCCAACTACTAACTCACTAACAAGTCCACTAGGCCCGAGTGCAGGTTAGGGACTCGCCAGCTCGGAAGGAAGCCTCTGACCTTTCTCGTAGATCTGCTGCCTGTCTCCGGGGGACAGAGCCTCGACCTTCTGCTTGAGCTTCGTGGCTTCCACCTGTGCCTGCTTCTCGTGATACTTGTCATCTGGCCTCATCGATAAAGTCAGCTTATGCTGGTTATTCTGCAGCAATCACAGCAACAACAAAAGCCAAGTGAAAACAAGATCTTACTATATCCTAACACTCAACAAGCTTCTGCTGGTGTGTTCTTGGTCCTGTGGTTCCACTTTCCCACTTTAAAAATAGTAATAATAGAACGCACCTCAAGAGTTGTTTTGCTGATGCAAGTACACAAGCCTTATAAAATGCTTACCACCATACCTGCCTATGTAGTAAGCACAGAATTCATATATGCTGTTATTCTACTGTTATTATTATTATGGTCATTAAGTCTTAAACATATCAATACTAAACATTTTCATTACATCTTAGTTGTAAAAAGGTTTGCACTTTCAAGTACTACAGATCTTGGATTTTAGTCTAATTGAAGATAATATAGAATTCTATTTTTTGTCTAGCGTTCATTCTACTATTAAGCTCTAAAAGGCTAGAACTACATTTCCCATTCAATACTTCGTAAGTTATTAGAACAAAATACATGTTGACGTTAATATAAAAATGAACATTAGGTGATTTCATGTCCTTTCCTTGTTTCAACAATTAAAAAACTACACATGCACAAAATGCTCCCATATAAAATACTACAAACAGGTGAGATAACTAGAAGACACCAGAAAGTTCATGGAAAATAACTTACAACAGCTGAGAGAAACTGCAGGTCAAATTATTAAATCATATCTCATGTCTAAAACAATGGAACCTACTGGAGAGTTTCCCTTCACAGCAGACAACAGTCTCTCCCACCACGGGAACCCTTTTTAAAAGTTCTACCATAGTAATGAGTACAAAGCAAAGAACAGGCAACCAAGCACAACTGCCTAAAAATCTGAGAAAACAAACGCGCAAGCATCAAAAGAATTCACTCATGAAAACCAGAAGATTCATTACATTTGGGTGACTGTTCACATATTTTATATTCTTCTACTAATAAAAGAACAATATATGCAGATGTTTTGTTCATACACACAAACATACATATATTCACACACTAAAAATGCACATATACATTTATCTAAAAAACTCAACTTGCATTACAATCTGGAAAATAATTAAGTTAATGTAAGCATTTAAATTTTTAATTAGAAATTAAGTCACCCATTAACAGAAATTACTTAAATGTATAGATTATGTTCCTAATATTCCTTTCATTAGTATAAAATTCAACTTCAAAATTAGAGAAATGAATTATCCAACTTTCTTACCTTAAAATACTGTTTTACTTTTTCTTGCAAAAATTTTGGATTTTCCTGCAGGCACTGTCTGAATTTAGCTAACTGATTTCCCAACTTCAAGAGCTCCACAGGGTCCCCATCATGGTTCCAGCAAGAAGCTATGTACTGGAAGGAAGATTTCCACATCCACAATGCAGCTGGTACCACAGTACAACCTCCACCAACAGCCCAGACTTGATACTAAAATCCTAGTTTCTGTATTTAAATATACCACAGATGATTGTTTATAACAAAAGTCATGTAATTCTTTGGATGGAGAAACAAAAAAACTTACTTTAGCCCTGTTTTGTTCCAATAAAATAAAAAGCACAGGCTGAAATAATGTTTAGGAAATAACCAACAGATTACTAGTTATAAACCCTTACCCATTTAAAGTAATCTATTTCACATAAAAATATCAAAAAGCCAGTTAAGCTAGTAACAAGACAAAATGTCTATTATAAAACAAAAACAAAATTGTTGAGAGATCACTTACTGATGTCAGCATCAGCCCAAAGCTGGTAGACTGATGTTTCATCTGTATTTCAATTTTATGAAGTAAAGCCTCAATTCGATCATCTTCAAATCCTTTCCTAAAGAATACAATGAAGAACAAAGATGGGCCAGACACAATGGCTCATGCTTGTAATCCCAGCACTTTGGGAGGCCAAGGCAGGAGGACTGCTTGAGGCCAGGCATTTAAGACCAGCTTGGGCAACACAGAGAAAGCCCATCTCTACTACACAAAAATTAGCTGGGCATGGTGGTGTGCACCCTAGTTCCAGCTACTTGGGAGGCTGAGGTGGAAGGATCACCTGAGCCTGGTAGGGGAGGAAAATGCAGTGAGCTGAGATCACGCCACTGCACAGCAGGCTGGGTGACAAAGCGAGACCCTGTCTCAAAACAAAACAAAAACCTAAGATGTTGAAGAGTTTTAGTAACAGAAGGTAGCAGAGATAATATTTAAACAACTAAATATGAACAAAAGCATGTTATATGACAGAGAAGGAAGGCCGAAACAATGGATCAGGCTCAGCTTCTCCCAAAAAGCACACAGGAATGAGGAACGAAAGCAGATTGTTACAAACAAGCTACACTCACTCAACTACTTCATCAATCGTTCTGTCTATGAGGCTTCTGACGGTCTCAATGTCTTTCTCCGCAATCCCTTGGAGGCCGACACTAAAGTAGGCCTCCCTCGTGTAGCCATTATATCTAGAAGACAAAACCAGAAATGATGCACTGGAATCCGGGCACGTTCATCATGCCCTCGTAATATGCTTGATTTAAAGATCAGAACGAAGCGCCTTAAACTCCAGCCCCTCCACTGAAAAGCTCATTAAAGCAGTGTTCTCAAGTAACTGGTTCTGTGTACATCCATGTCATTTTTACATCATTTTTTAAAAATAAAATTTAAACTTTTGAGTTATGGCAGGATAAATATCAAAACAGAGAACTGCTGAGATTTACAAAATTTTAAAAATTCCTGTAGTCCCAGCTACTCTGGAGGCTGAGGCAGGAGAATGGTGTGAACCCGGGAGGTGGAGCTTGCAGTGAGCCGAGATCGCGTCACTGCACTCCAGCCTGGGCGACAGGGAGAGACTCCATCTAAAAAAAAAATTCTAATACTTAATGACCTGACCTGTAAGAGACAACAGCATGACATTCTGAGGCCCTGGAAAAGCTGTCTTTGTGCTGGGTGTTTTTCTTTTGGACAAATGTCCCCTTGGGGGGACACAAATGGCTGGCACTGGATCCAGGATCTCATCCAGAGTTCCCTGATGGGGGCGGCCATCCTGTGTACCATGAGACACTCAGCAACTTCCTGGTCCGCCATCTTCCGATTATAGCAATCAAAAATCCAAAAATGTTCCAGACACTGTCAAGTGTGGGGCCGGGACAGGGTGCGGAGGTGGAGGAGCAAAACTGCCCCCAACCAATGAGAACTACTGATCTAATCTAATCATAAACTCACCCAACATCAGGAGAAAAGTCTGTGCCAAGGCCAGATTCAATCAAGGCTTTGTAAAAGGGAGAATTGGGCCCAGAAGTCAAGAGTGAAGACAGAAGACTTAATGTGAAGGCTTCAAATGTGTCGGTGATGCTGCATTGAAAAAAAAAGGAACGGGGAGGTAAGAAAAGAGTAAAGGGAAAATTACTGGCCCTTATGCACATTTTATTTAAAACCACTACACA
The DNA here is from genome assembly GCF_000001405.40 of Homo sapiens. NCBI lineage: Eukaryota > Metazoa > Chordata > Mammalia > Primates > Hominidae > Homo > Homo sapiens. The sequence goes on from NC_000010.11 coordinate 3,159,135, forward strand.
TCTTTCTAGAAATTCTTGCATTTCAACATTTAACAATTTTATGAGCAGAAGAGAATTTTCCTTAAATACCGGGATTTTTGAAGGGGGGCACAAACCATCAAATTAACTTCACTGCACACGAAATGCTCACCATGGGACAGCCTGCCAAGCACTTTTCACACGTGATTTAAATCACAGGCACTGTGGCAGCACCATTAAGGAGACAAGGAACAAGCCAGGAGAGGTGCCAGCCACGGAGCTGCAGGCTGAGCACGGGAGGGCCCAGAGCCCAAGCCTTCCCTTCCTGAACACCCCCGGGCATGGTTCCGACCTAGTCTCGTGAAACCACCGGAATTACAAAGTTTTGTATGTGATATATTTTGCCGAGGTGCATGTTCATAGTACCATTCTCACACTCAAAGGGACCTGTGACCTCAAAATGTGAGCACCTGCTGGTCTGAGGCAGTCTTTTCTCTGTAGGAATAAAGCTTTGAAATACAATAAGTAAATTACTTTTCTTCCGGAGGGCTATCAAAAACGATTTTCCTCAAAAACCATTTTGGATGTTATTAAAAACTTCGACATTTTGTTCTCTATTCCTAAAATCCACTTAACCCCTGAATCCTAACCGTATATTAATTAACATTCAATTGTAGAACTCACTTCCGAACCTTCTAATAGGAACATTTTCCTCATGTTTTTGTCTTGTATGAGCTTTGACAGCATATACTTACTCCGGTAAGAGGAAGCTAACGCTGATGGTTGTTTGTTTAGAGGGATCTGTAGCAAATGAATCCGGGCCACATGTTATCTGGAATTCCCTCTGTAAAATGACGTGACGTTGTGAGTAGGCACAGTGTCTGACGGTTGTCAACTACTCTAGGTTATCTGGATACACGAAATGGAGCGAAACAGGCTTTCCACTAAGTTAACTTTCCTTTCAAACAAATTACCATTCTTTCAGCTTGAAAAGCTCTCCCATACTCTGTACCAAACATGACAGCATCTGAAATCCCATCATCAATACCCAGTCCAAGTCCTCATGTCAACATATTTACCAGGAAGGACACAAACACGGTGGGGCACTCACAGGCTTGTCCCAGGGTGTCTGAGCTGGCACCACGGTGCTTGGTTCAATTTTCTGGAATTTGCTCAGTGCTTCCTCGTGAATTTGTTTCAGATGCTGTTCTAATGGAAAATTACCGTACGTGAAGAACCTAAAATTTTAAGGGAATATAATTAGTCTGTTTTAGTTTAAAAGATGTGAGATCAAGTGCTGTCTGTTTCACTGAAACACAGCACAGGAGTGCCCCTTACCCAAGGTCTCGCCTTTCGGTTTCAGTCACCCTTACTCAACCAAGGTCCAAAAATATCACGGTACTTCGAGAGACCAAAATTCATGTAACTTATTACAGTATATTGTTATAATTGTTCTATTTTATTATTAGTTATTGTTGTTAACCTCTCGCTGTGCCTAATTTATAAATTCAACGTTCATTCACAGGGCATGGTGCTATTCCTGGCTTCAGGCATCTGCTGGAGTGCAGTGGCACCGTCACAGCTCACTGCAGCCTCAAGCAATCCTCCAGCCTCAGCCTCCTCAGTAGCCGGGACTACCAGGACTACACCACCACACTTGGTTTTGGTGGGGGGTTTTTTTTTTTGAGATGGAGTCTCGCCCCGTCCCCCCAGGCTGGAGTGCAATGGCACAATCTCAGCTCACTGCAACCTCCGACTCCCAGGTTTAAAAGATTCTCCTGCCTCAGCCTCCCAAGTTGCTGGGATTACAGGTGCCCACCACCATGCCCAGCTAATTTTTGTATTTTTAGTAGAGATAGGGTTTCACCATGTTGGTTAGGCTGGTCTCGAACTCCTGACCTCAGGTGATCCACCCGTCTCAGCCTCCCAAAGTGCTGGAATTACAGGCGTGAGCCACCGTGCCTGACCGGCTAATTTTTAAGTTTTAGAGGTGGGTTCTATGTTACCCATGCTGGTCTCAAACTCCTGGCCTCAAGCAATCCTCCCATCTTGGCCTCCGTAAGTGCTTGGATTTGCAGGCATGAGCCACCACACCTAGCCAAAAATCGATCTTACATTTTAAACTTCATCTAGATGTGACAAAAACCAAATGAGGTATTTGTTAAAACACTTTATAACCCTAGGTACAGTAATATAGTAATCCAACTGACAATTTCACAAAACTCAATTTTTGGCAACAAATTCAAGGTTATACACGTTTATAAAGATAACACATTTATTCAACCAGAGGAAAAAGGTTACAATGACAGAATTTATCTTTTTCTTTACTATATAGCCTGAGCTATGGTTAAGGTTTGGGAAACTAGTATCTTACAGAACCTTCAGAAATTTCTCACTCTAGAATTTAGAAACAAATTTTACACACTCGGGGTTGAGAGAATCCAGGAGCAATCACCACCCCTAGTGTTCAGATGCTGCTCTCCAAAGACCCTTCCCCATTAGCCACAGAAATCAGAGCTCCCTGGGGAAACAGACAGTTGAACCTCTGGAGCAGGGAGGGCCCGGCTGTGCGTGCATTAGGGAGGTGGGGGTGGGGGCGTAGAAACCAAAGAAGTTAGACCAAAACGGGCCCACAGCTGGGGCAAATGTGGGCATAAAAATGAATAAATTCCATCTGATCACATAATCTCAAATATATACATATACAGAAATATTTCTGTGAGGTCAGAGTGGTACTAAAAAACAAAACAAGACTGGGGAAAAAAAAAAAAAAGAAGAAAAGAAAGAACTCTCTTCTCCATGTTGGGCGCAGTGGCTCACACCTGTAATCCCAGCACTTTGGGAGGTCAAGGTGGGCAGACTGAACTCAGAAGTTCAAGACCAGCCTGGGCAACATGGCGAGACTCTGTCTCTACAAAAAAATATAAGCACTAGCTGGGCATGGTGGCGTGCGCCTGTAGTCCCAGCTACTCAGGAGGCTGAGGTGGCCCAGGAGGCTGAGGCTGCAGTAAGACAAGATCATGCCACTGTACTCCAGCCTGGGGGACAGAACCAGACCCTGTCTTTAAAAAAAAAAAAAAAAAAAAACAAGACAGCCTCTTCTGTCACCATTAAAAGTAGTTCCTGCACCACCCCTCCTCCTCAAACTGGACTTCCCAGGGAGAGCAGCCGGCCCTGCCTTTTCCACAGAACCATATTTCAAGATAACCCGATAGCCCAGCTGATGTGGAGCTCTTCTTTGAAGAAGTCCAGCAAACAAATGAAGAAGTTACAGAACTAGAAAACTTCGCAAACTCTAATAAAGTAATTGATTCAGGCAATAATCCTCAATGAATATGAAAACCATTAATAGGTTGATGAGGAACTCATTATCACAGGACACCAGAAACTCAAGCCCACCAGATGGTCTGTGGCTGAAGGGAAAAAGCAGATCTTCCCAAGGCAGTGGCTGACTCTCAGCATGGACCCCGCTGGTGTGAGATCCCCAGTGGAGGCGAGCAGACCTCACATGATGGTAGGATGTGGCCGTCTATGGAGAGCTCCCCATGAGGGACTCTGCTTACAAAGGCACAGCCTGACTCAAACTAAGTCTTTGGATCTAAGTTCCAGTGCTCAGGAAACACAGGAACATGGCACCCAACACCAGGCGGGAACAGCCAGGCCACCTGGAAAGTGAGTGCGCCAGAAAGAAACTGGGCCTGCACACTCCTCTGCCGTCCCCTAGAGGGTGCCCAGGAGAAACCCGGGCCGACCAGGTGTGACCTGTGGGACCCCGTGCAACAAACACTTTGGGGCCAACTAGAAAATCTGAATATGGAATAAGAAATAGGCAGTTTTAAGAAAGTATGTTTTATTCTATTAAAACTGAAAATGGCATTAGCTCATGTAAGAAAAAATCCTCACGTTTTAGGGTCACAAATTCAAACATTTACGGGCAAATGATCATGACGTCTATAATTTACTTCCAAAAACTTCAGCAAGGGAAAGGATATCTATTACATGATAAGTGTTTAGGGGCTCATTATTCTAGTATCTCTACTTTTCTGTATGCTTCAAGTTTTCATAATTATTTTTACATAAAATAATCTTGCAAATATGTTTTTACATTAGCATTCATATGTAAATACAATTAGTGTTTTATATAAGATATATGACTATATTATTATTATAATGACCTTGTATTAGTGACATAAGAACAAGCAATGTATCAGAAAGTGAGGATGTAATTAAGGTTCAGTAACTGCATCCACTATTGGAAGAGCACTTCTCCGTGCCAAGGAGAGGGCTTCAAGCTTCACACCCCGTGTCAAGGTGGGCACCATCCATGCACCCCCACTTTCCACGCAACCAAGCTAGATGTGAGGCAACAGGCTGCGGGGCCAGGACCCTCCTCTGGGGGACTCTAAACGCTGTGTTTGTAACCACCATGCTGAGCCTCCTGAGGGCTATCATTGTAAATGTCCAAAATCAATGTCCAAGTAAGATAGGCAAACTTAGGCCAAGAATCTTACCTAGACTTAGATATTTCTTAAGCATTGCTAAATGTGAGAGAAGCCATGCCATAAACTGTTAAGAACACAAACAAGTCAACTTTTCACAATCCACCATCAAACTTTTCCAACAAAATATTACCTAGCATTGCTTGGGTGATAGTGAGTGGCATGAAACTGCTTAAGCTGCTCCCATGTAAGCTCCGGGATGCACAGTGGGTCACCCCCGGAGACCACTGAGTACGTGTGGTCAGGAAGAAGTCTGTTCTGAAGGTGCTGGGAGAATATCCTCTCATTGTCTGTCTTGAAACGTAAAATAAATAAATCATAAGTATACATGTAAAATAATACACACGTTACATTACTTACAATATAGCCAATTGATCACATTCTGGTGCATACACCTGTAATACTTTGCAAATAAAGCTGTTCTAATGGTTTAAAAAAAAAAAAAAAACACCCACGCAGGCATTGTTTAACACGGTATTCAATCATTCATCACCCACGCACAGGACCCAAGGATTGAGAAGAACAATGGATTTTTTGATGTGTGGTGCAACAAACGCATAGCTGAGGGCTGTAAATCGGGATGGATCAGTCGGTCTGCCCACCAGCCGTGAGGGAAGTGGGGAGAAGCTGTCACCCCAACTTGAGTTCAAGAAGACTCCTTGGAAGAAAAGACCACCAAATTGAGAATGAAAAGGTAAGAAATAGTTCACCAGCCGAGAGGAGCTACGGGAATCAGAGAGCAGGCCACCCATGAGCCTCAGGGACACCAGGACAGACAGGTTGTCCAAGTCACAAAGGGACATGAAGACATGGGCCCAGGACAGCAGCTCTTAATCCAAAATGGTCTCAAGAATCCTTTACACTCTGAAAAATTAACCCATTTATGCCTGAGGTTGCAATTTTTTTGTAAAAAATCAGACCTTGGCGATGACCTTGAGCTGTAGGACATAAATAACTCCCACAAGCTTAGGGTGCCAATAATGGAACACTAGGCATAAATGCGTTTTAATGAGGACCCAAACAGCTTTTGATTATGTGGGCGTTTTTGCCTGTGTAGGTGCCTGTGTGTGTTTATATAATTTTTCTATATTCTAAATTAAAGCTGAGACATTTAAAAAATACTTATTCATTAAGGTAAGCCATCATTACATGTTGATATAAATATTTTTGAAAAATACTTCTCATAACAAAGTAAAAAACTGATTAGAGTGGTGCTGTGTTGCCTTTTTTGCAAATCTCTGTAGCGTCTGGCTCAGAGGTGAAGCTGGACTCCCCCATTTGCTCTGTATGCAGCTCGCTGTGTGTCACACACCTTGCCATGCAGCCTCTAGAAAGTACACCGTGTACTTGGGCAAGAATGAATGAAAAGACACTGTCTTGGTAGTGGTATGAAAATAGCTTTTATCTCACAGACTTGCTGCAGATCACATACCAGGGGTCCCCAGACATGGTCTGAGACCTGCTGGGAAGAACAGCAGCCTGGCCCTGCTACCCCGACTTCTGCTCACAGCACTGACCCCAGCTAATTCAAGAATGTATCACCTATAATGAGAATATTAAATAAAATCTTCCAGATGTGTCTATATCATGATATTGTACATGGGAAAGGTAAGCTGAACACAACATAAAAAAGGAAGAAAACTTACAAACGCTCCCTTCATCTCATTAAAGACGACTCCTTTAAAGACCAAGGGCGTCTGGGGGTCGCTCGGATTCTCATGTTCCAGCCGCCATCCTTCCTGCCTGAGGACAAATCATTATAAGCTGATAGTGACTCAAATACTAAAGTCTGTATCAACTAGTTAATCATTCATGACATACCAGAAATCCAGCTCGCGTAAACATGGGAAAAAGGTGGCATCCAAATACACCGAGAGGAGATTCTGAAAGTCCTTGGGATTTTGTGTGGAAAATGGATACAGAGTATAATCACTAGCTGGGTACAAATGAAAAGTGAAATTGTAAAATATAACAGATTTCTACTAAAATTATTGACTCTCAAGACTCATTCCCCCTTTGTCCTAGGACAGTAAGCTGTAGCTATTCTTGGGATGGGGCAGTGGCCCCATGCTCTGGTCCCTGGCCTCAGCAGCTGTCCCAGCTCATAACCCCAAGTGCCGGCTTTCCCATCCCGTCTCAGGATCTGCACTCGACGGGCACCAGGGCTTTCTTCAGCGAATATCTAAACTCTCTCAAGTTTCTCCAGAGACTTTCATACATCTACAAAGATGACCTCATTCTGTAACAGCATGGATTTAACCCGCTCTTCAATGTCACTCCCCCACAGAATGCACTGTTCATCGTCACCCTATCCACTATCGTCAGTCTTACTAAAAGTCAAACATCAACATTAGTAGTAACTCTGGCATTGTAGCGATATCTCCAAGAGAAAATTGTTTTGAACTTTTCTGGGAAAAGTTCACATATGTTTTCTTAAAACGCTAGTTTTTACAATCTCGCTACCATGTGGCTTTCCTGAAGGATTAAATTTCTAATGTCCTTCAACTAGAGAGAGGTAAAAATTTTTCTAGAACATGAATTGCCCACTCCCCTCATTCCTTCTCAGAAACTAACTGAATTCCAGTGGGTGTGCCTGGCAAACCCAAAAGCAGTTTCTGTTCAGGATGCTGGTCTTACCTGTGAAGGCGTTCATGAACGTGGAGAGGGACCGGTTCAACATTTTGAAGAAAGGGTCTCTGCACGGATATTTCTGAGACCCACAAAGGACGGTATGCTCAAGAATGTGAGGAACACCAGTACTGTCCATGGGAGTAGTACGGAACTGCACGCTAGGGAAGGAGAATGACCAGAACGCAAAAGGTTCAGCTTAGTGCTGCGGACACAGTTCCCAGATGCATCATCACCTCAGGCTACTAGAAATCATCATTCTGACACCACAATCCTCCAGCACAGGGTTTTCCAACTATAATGTAAATCATTGACTCAGACTGTAAAATTGTATTTTGATGAGATTATAAGTCAGTGTAAACTTTTCCTTATTTTTCAAGATGCTCTGTCAATAAAAATACTAGTGAGATGATATTTTAAACCACGTAATGTATAGCCATGTTTTAAATCAAGCTTGTCCAACCCGCAGCCTGCAGCCCGCATGCTCAGGATGGCTTGAAATGCAGCCCAACACAAATTCATACACTTTCTTAAAACATTGAGGGGTCCTTTATTTATTATTTTTAGCTCATCAGCTGTCCTTAGTGTTAGTGTATTTTATGCGTGGCCTAAGACAGTTGTTCTTCTTCCATTGTGGCACAGGGAAGCCAAAAGAATGGACATTCCTGATTTAAATAAAAACATTCAAGACCATGTTCTTACAATGCACCACACACCTGAACAGATTATTCGTGTCTTCTCTGGCCAGGTGTAAATACCTGGCTCCTGTGTCATCATGGGTGAGCTTCACTGCAGTCAGGAACAGCTCGGGAACAGATGTCACCTGAGTTAACAAGAAAAACACGACCAGTTAAACTTAGACAAAATGGCCTTTGAAATGGTTATGTTCGACACACTGAGAAAACTGGCTTTTCTGCCTGAAATTAGATGATGCCGGGAAGGCAGTATTTCAGAGCTGGAGAGAAGAGAACCATCTTGTCCAGGTCCCTTATCCTACAAACAAGGAAAGACAGACCTAAAAAAGGCAGATGAGAATATGTGTGTGTGTGTATAGAAAGAGAGAGAGAGCGAGCGAGCGAGCGAGCGCGAGAGCGCACGCGCTTACTACTGGCTAGGTATTTTAGATTTTTTTATTTTTTAAATTTTTTATTCTTTTTTTGGCTAGGCATTTTCTAATCATGTCACATATAATCCTGTGAGGGAGGTATTCTCATACTCATTTACAGACGAAAAAACCGAGGCTCAGGGTGATGAAATAAGCTGCCTAAATCACAGAGCCAGGATTCACCCTGGTGTCTGCCCTTCCCATGGTACCATGCTGCACCTAAGTAACAGAGCGCCCTTTCCAATGTCTGCTGAGTGTCTCCTGCTTTTGTGTGCTGTGCCTCAGTAACACAGCGCCCCTTCCAATGTCTGCTGAGTGTCTCCTGCTTTTGTGTGCTGCGCCTCAGTAACACAGCACCCCTTCCAACGTTGGCTGTGTGTCTGTTTCTGTGCATATCATCTCCTGTAGTGCGCAGAACGGGCCTGCAAGGAGGGGAAATGCTAGAGTGGGCTAGCCTGCGACAGCAGGGAGAGGCTCTAGGATCAGCCTTTGCTTCTCTTAGTTTAGGATGGGTTCTCGGTGGTAGCTAGAAGCACAAAGCTGTGGCTTCCAGAACAGCTGGAGGGGCCGGGAGGATAGAAATGCCCACAAGACAGACGAAAGACTCCCCACTCCTGGGGCGGCGTGGAAGGTCATCTCCTACTTTAGGTAAGCCTCCTGGTAAGTGACCATACTCCTCGGTATGAAAGAAACTGTCTTCTCTTCCAGTCATGCCAGCCGGCCCTCTCCCTCAATCACACACCACGTCCCTGTGATCACCACACCACTCACCACCCCCTCCTGCCAGGTGCCATGAGTCACCTGGCCAAGCGCACACAGTAAGTCGCTGGCCAAGGTCAGACCTCGGGTCTCCTCAGCCCAATCTAGGGAGCCTGCCACGCAACAGTCATGCATAAAGCAGACCACTATGACCTGCATCATCTACCGCCGCGAAATTACTTCTGTTTCCAAGCTCACTGTACTTTGTAACAGATGATCAATGCTTTTGAAGTCAGCAGATACAGTGAGATGTTTGCTTTCTAATAATATATAGCTTTAATAATAATAGCTTTCATGGTAGCTATTTCTCAAACAAGAATCATGACTTATCGTAAGTTTCTATGGCTGGACACAGTGGCTCACACCTATAATCCCAGCACTTTGGAAGGCCAAGGTGATATGGTTTGGCTGTGTCCCCACCCAAATCTCATCTTGAATTGTAGTTTCCATAATCCCCACATGTTGTGGGAGGGACCTGGTGGGAGGTAATTGAATCAAGAGGGCGGTTTCCTCCATGTTATTCTCGTGACAGTGAGCACGTTCTCATGAGAGCTGACGGTTTTATAAGGGGCTTCCCCCTTCACTTGATCCTCATTCTCTCCCCTGCCGCCCTGTGAAGAGATGCCTTCCACCACGATTGTGTTTCCTGAGGCCTCCCCAGCCATGCAGAACTGTGAGTCAATTAAACCTCTTCACTTTTTAGCTCATACTTTATAAATTACCCAGTCTTGGGTATTTCTTCATAGCAGTGTGAGACTAGACTAATACACAAGCAAAAGGATTGCTTGAACCCAGGAGTTTGAGACCAGTCTAGGCAACAAAGTTTCCATCTACACACACACACACACACACACACACACACACACACACACACACACACACAATTAGCCAGGCGTGGTGGCACCTTGTCCCAGCTACTTGGCAAGAGGATCGCTTGAGCCCAGGAGTTCGAGGCTGCAGTGAGCCAAGATCATACCACCACACTCCAGCCTGGGCGACAGGGTGAGTCCCAGTCTCAAAAGTAAATACGTTTCTATAAAATTTGAGAAATAAAGGAGGAGAATCTACCGCTGTGGGTGAGGCCCTTATTAACAGTAACCTGTACCATAAACCCAAGTGTCTTTGCCTGGCCTTTGCAGGATTTCACAAACGCTCCAAGTCTTTTCATGAGTCCCATGCCTGGACCTTGTCTGGCGCACCCTAGTCACTGCCCTGGCTCCCTTGCTGGAGCCCTGACCGAAGGCAGCCACGTTCTCACACCACCCTCTCCAGGAGCTCTTCCCTCTGCCCCCAGCAGCAGCAGCTCCCACTCCTCCTCCTGCCCTTGTCCTTGGCCCTCCGCGTGGCGTCCACCATGTGCCTCCGGTCACAGCCGCAGCAGTCTTTCTAGACAGTAAGCTGTTTGTCTTTCACGTTTGCTATAACATCAAGCATAGCACAAAGCCAACAGCTGGCCAAATACATGAAGCGTGTCATTTTCAGTTACCATGCTAAATAGAAACAATGCAAAAGGTTTAGGCAAAATAACAAAACAAAAACCAAATGAATCTATTTTAATACAGACCCAAGTAAGTACAGGTCCACAATTGCTTCTTTATCATTCTGAAACCCGAATGGCTCAGAAAACTGAAAGGTTCTGCGGACGTTTAGAGCAAGCTATTTGATGGCAAAACCTGACTAAACAGATCAGGGCAGTGAGTCTTCATGCTCATGCTCAGTGAAACATCAGGTTTGGCTGCAGAAACGCTAGTGTGTCTGATTACAGAGACCCAGCTGGAAGTGTTACTCTCTAAAATCTCACAAGAACCAGGCTTTGCGGGATTCCAGGAAGGGACTGGGGCTCATTTCACTCACAAGCTCTGTTCAGCCGAGTAGCTGCCACACAGCAGGAGCTGGGCCAGGGCCTTGGGACACAAGGACAAAAACGCTAGTCTCCGCCCTGAAGGGCTCCGTACATAGGCCAGAAGCCGCACCTGCAATGTATGTGGATTTATAAGGAGGTGCCGAGGACGACCCATACCTGGTTTACGGTGAATCCATGGATCTTGTCTCCTAGTTTATACTGCAGAGCCCTCTCACAAGCCCGGTTACTGTTCCATCGCCACGCTCTGTGGTGTGCATGTCTAGATTAAAAGTCATCTAAGTTAGATGAGTTGCAGGAAAAGTATCTGGCTAACATTATTCAGCCACATAGTGAAAATACTCTCATGTAATAAAGATTATTAAAGAAAAATTAAATATTGCATCTTCCAAAGTCTTGCACATTCCAGAAAACTGATTTCTGGTAAGGTCCTTTCCATTTTAATGATCTTTATCTTAACTAAAGCTTCAATGTTGGAAACCTTTTCTTTACACTTGTTCACAAATAACTATAATACAATTACAGTTTAAATTCCCCTTGTTTAAGAGACAACTCTTAAACAAAAGGGCTTCTTTCCTTCACAGAATCCTCAAAAGCCTTCACAGTATACCAAGAAATTCACACTACAGTTAAATCCCATTACATGCCTACCGAATTGCTGAAAACTTAAAAAGCCTAATATTACCGGGAACTCTCATACACTGCTACAGGGAGTACAAAGTGGAATAACTTTGGAAAAGCACTTGGCATTCTTTAGAAAGGCTGAAGAGGCCGGGCGTGGTGGCTTACGTCTGTAATCCCAGCACTTTGGGAGGCCTGGGTGGGCGGATCACCTGAGGTCAGGAGTTCGAGACCAGCCTGGCCAAAAATTAGCCTGATGTGGTGGCAGGTGCCTGTAGTCCCAGATACTTGGGAGGCTGAGGCAGGAGAATCGCTTGAACCCGGGAAGTGGAGGCTGCAGTGGGCCGAGATCACGCCACTGCACTCCAGCCTGGGTGACAGAGCAAGACTGTCGGAAAAAAAAGAAAAAAATGCTGAAGATTGGAAATCCATTCACCTCTTGGTCTCTATCGTCCACACCTTACACTGCGGCCCCAGCACTCACAGACAAAAATGTCAGCACGAACCCTGACAGTCCCAAACTCAACTCACCCGGAGGTGTATCGACAGAGAATGGATAAAGTGCGGACTAATCGTTCAATTAAAAAAAAAAAAAAAAAAAAAAAAAAAAAAAAAAAAACCTTACCAATATAAGGGCCTACAGTGGCATGTAACAAAGATATGGGTCACATAACGTGAAACAAAAGATACACATGATACAGTATTATCCTAAACAGGTATTATTCAAATAGGTAACAAGACATTGTCAGAACGCATAAAAATGGTAAAATATTAAAAAAAAAAAAAGCAAGGACATTTCTGTATGTTATGACCGTGATAATCTAAGAGGGAGGGAGAGAGTTACGAGCAGTTAGGGGAATCTTCAACTTGGTCACAGGGACACTAATTTTCTTTTTTGAGACAGATCTCACTCTGTTGCCCAGGCTGGAGTGCAGCGGTGCAATCTCGACTCACTGCAACCTCCACCTCCCGGGTTCAAGCAATTCTGTCTCAGCCTCCTGAGTGGCTGGGACTACAAGTGCTCACTACTACGCCCAGCTAATTTTTGTATTTTTAGTAGAGACAGTTTCACCATGTCGGCCAGGCTGGTCTTGAACTCCTGACCTCAAGTGGTCTGCCCGCCTTGGCCTCCCAACATGCTGGGATTACAGGTGTGAGCCACCGCGCCCAACCTATTTCTAATAATTATTCTCACCTGAATGAGATGGCTCACACCTGTAACCCCGCAATGCGAGAGGCTGAGGAGGGGGATCAAACCAGCCTGGGAAACAGAGCAAGATCCCTGCTCTTAAAAAACACGTAATTATTATTCTCTCCAATTGTATTATATGTCGTATGGGATTTTCTACATTAATGTATCCCACCGAAATATTTATTTTAAAGATAATATGTACAGGAAGAAAAAACCTATTCAGTCACTGGCAATATTATGAAGATATGCTATAACCAACATTTGCTTACTGATTTAGCAAATTTCAGAATTATGGGACAGAAGCGTTTTAAGAAGTTACTTATCAAGGACATGATAGGAAACTCCTGAGCGGTAAGGCCAGGCCGAACTCATGCCACGGACGCCCCGTGCCTCCCGGCCTGGGCCGGCAGCGCTGAACTATTACCTTATATTAAACACGGGCTCGTGGATTACCATGAACACTAAACTGCTTCGTCATTTTTTTCCCCATAAATTGAGTCATTAAAAAAACAAAACAGTTCAATTCCGGGAGGCGTCAGTTCTCTGAACACAGCGAGACTTTAAGTATGGGCTGTGGGCGCCTCGGGTCTCTTAAGGACTCGGCCTCCCAACAAAAATGAACTAGGAGCAAAGCTGTCAGCGAGAACCGCAAATGCCGACCCCATTTACTACCCCCGTTAAAGCCCACGCTAATGGAGGGCCCCGCCGGGAGCGCCGCGGGCAGGCCCGGCCCCCAGCCCGGGGCATCGCCCCTGGGAGTAGGAAGGAGCTCCGAGGTCCTCCGGCCTCGGAGCCTCGGATGCGGGAGCTCCAGGAAGGGCTCGGGGTGCGGGACGCCCACAGCTTGGGGAGCTGCCAGCCCCGGGCGCAGGGACGAGGACCCCTACGCCTCCGGCCTGCCCTGGACCCTCCCCTCCCGGGTACCAGCGCGCCGAGCGCCTCCCGTCGCAGCGTCTCACCCGCCGCTCAGCCGCCTCAGCACACACAGGCCCTGCCGCCCGCCGCAGCGCCACATTGCGCATGACGAGCACCTGGCTGGCGAGGAACCCCCTCTTAACCCGACGCAGGGCGCGGGGCGGGGCTTGCCGTGACAGCTACCACTCCTATTGGTCAACGCGAACAGCGACGTCCTCTGCGATAGGCTGTAGGTGAAAAGGGTAGGCCTCCACTGCTCTGGGACGGGCGGGAGGGCGGTGCGGACGGAGATGGGCGGGAGGGGCGGGGCCGACGTGCCGAAGGAGGCGGGCAAGGCGAGGGGCGTGGTACGGGTAGAAAGGGGCGGGGCCGTCTTGCCGAAAGGGGCGGGGTTCGGCCAGCAGCAGGATGTGGACAGATGATAGGAGGGGGAAGTGGGCAGGCGAGAAGTGGGGCGTGGCGAGAGGCGTGTGTATGCAGATGAAGTGGGGCCTGGTGAAGGGCGGGGCTGCGCTGGTGAAAAGAGGGGCTCCTGGAATGGCGTGCTGTGTTGGGTGGGGCTGTGCAAGTGATGGGAGGGGCTTAGCGAGGGGTGGCTCTTTGCAGGTGAGGAGTGGAGACCAGTGGGAGAGGGGATTGCAAGTGAGCTGAGCCTTGGGGGCGGGGCTTGCAGGTGACAGGGTGGAGCCTAGTGGGCGGGGATGCAAGTGAGCTGGGCCTTGGGGATGGGGCTTGCAGGCGATGGGGTGGAGCCTGGTGGGGCGGGGCTGCAGGTGAGCTGGGCCTTGGGGGCGGGGCTTGCATGCGAGAGGTGGGTCCTTGTGGGGGCAGGGCTGGCAGAAGTGGGTGGGGCTTGGTGATGGACCGCGGTGTTCAGGTGAGGGTAGTGGCCTGGTTGGGGGCTGCCGGAAGCTGGGCCAGGTGAAACTTGGTAGCCCTCTCTGGCCTTGGTGTGGGCGTTGGTCCTGTTTGTAGGGCTGAGCTGAGCTCCAAAGGCGTTCTGCTGCCCCGCCAGGCCTGAACCTTGGGGTCTGGGGGCTTCTTGGATGAGATCTCAAGGCTGCATGGCAGGTCCCAGGGCCAGGGCCCCACGGTGTCACACGTATCACGGATGGCCGCCAGCGAAGCACAGCACAGCTCCGAGCTGCTGCATGGGAGCCTGTGGCCCCCGCTGCTGCCTCCGCTTTCCTCTTCGTTTCGTGTCTAGGAAGATGCACCTGAGCCCCCTGACATTGCCCAAGTGCCCAAGGGCCCTTCTGGGAACCCCCAGAGAGGCTGAAGGAGGCCCCCGTAGGAGTGGGTGGTTCTGCACTGTGGGCCAGAAGGGGCCCTGGGATTAGCCACGCTTGGAGAGGGTGGGGTAGCCCTTGGAGGAAGTCCGCACCAAGTCTGACCTTCCGGGTTTCTCAGAGCCTCTCTTCCTTCCTCCCTTCACCTTCTCCCTCTTTTTTTCCCCTTGTATCACGAATACAAACAGGCTCAAATCTCCCTCTGTCTCCTAATGGGCTCTGAAAAAAAAAATTAAAAATTAAATGGTAAGTAGATGGCTGCAGTCGGCTTGAACAAGCTAAAACTTTGGAAGCAATGTGGAAGGTAATACTGTGGGAAAAAGTCCCAACGTGTCTACCCTAAACTCTCCATAGGGCAGCCAGTTCTGGGCTGCAGGTAAACACGTACCTCCTTATTGAAGAGCCCAAAGGAACCAGAACACAGGCAATAATAGGAGCGACAGACACAAACACGCTCTGCGCATCACCCGTCTTCTAGGGAGAATTTGGGTGTGTGCACACAAAATATCCGATCTAGGTCTCAATCAATTTAGAAAGTTAATTTTGCCAAGGTTAAGGGCATGCCCATGACACAGCCCCAGGAGGTCCAGATGACATGTGGCCAACATGGTCGTGGCACAACTTTTTTTTTTTTTTTTTTTTAATACCGTGTCTCACTCTGTCGCCCTGGCTGGATTGCAGTGGCGCAATCTTGGCTCAGTGCAACCTCAGCCTCCCGGGCTCAAGCGAGTCTCCTGCTTCAGCTTCCCGAGTAGCTGGGATTACAGGCACCCACCACTATGCCCAGCTAATTTTTTTTTTTTTTGTATTTTTAGTAGAGACGGGGTTTCACCATATTGGTCAGGCTGGTCTCGAACTCCTGACCTCGTGATTTGCCCGCCTCCGCCTCCCAAAGTATTGGGATTACAGGCGTGAGCCACCGCGCCTGGCCACAACTTGCTTTTATACATTTTAGGGAGATATGAGACATCCACCAATATATGTAAAATGTAGATTGGTTGGGTCCGAAATGGCAGGGCAACTCCAAGTGGGGGCTTCCAGGTTGTAGGTAGATAAGAAGGAAATGGTTGCATTATTTTGAGTCTCTGATTAGACTTTCACTGAACACACAACTTATATTTGAGAGGAGGGTAGAGAAGCAGTCACTGATGCCTTAGTCTGACTCAGTGAAACAATGGGGCAGAGGAAGTGATCAGATATGCGTTTGTCTCACCCGTGAGCCTCAGGAGGATGACTTTGAGTTCTGCCTGTCCTTGGTCCACAAGGAATTTCCTTGTGGACAAATTGTGAGAAAAGTATGTGGCTTTTTAAAATCCTTATAGCTGTCTTACTTAGAAATAAAATGGGAGGCAGGTTTCACAGTTCCCAGCTTGATTTTTCCCTTTAGCTTACTGATTTGGGTTCCCGAGATATTATTTTCCTTTCATGGGTCATACATATTAATAGGTCATCATAACATCTCTGATCTTGGGGGAGACAGTTGGGTATCATTAACCCTATTGTGAGTGGCCAGGAAAATGAAACACTGGAAGGTTATAGTGTTTTTATTTCTTTGAAAATAGATGCTGTGTAAGTCTAATAATTAAGGCTTCAGAGTGTGTTCCCATAGCATTCAAATGTCACTGATGGATAACCTAGATAAACAAATGCCCAAACATTTACAAATAATTATTTCGAATAGCATTCAACCTAATGTTAACACCTACAGGTAGTCTCAGTTTATATTAACACAAATGACTCCAACACAGAAATTAAAAATCCGAACTTGTCTATGCAATTTGCTATGTTACAAAAACATATCCTATGTTATAGTGAAATTCATTGTTTTAGCGAAATTAGAAAGCAATTTAAAAAAAAATCAGAATAGATTGTGACTGGAACTTAGAAGGGCAATCAAGTGAATATTAAGTATTAAAGGTTTAATTGTGTCTACTCAAAAAGATATGTTGGGGTCCTAACCCCCAGTATCTCAGAGTGTGACTTTGTTTGGAGATGGTCTTTACAGAAATAATTAAGCTAAAATGACATCATTGGGTGGGCCTAACTCCAGGATGGTTCATGTCCTTATAAAAAGGGAAAATTTGGATGCAGAGACAGACATGCACACACACGGAAAATGCCAGGTGAAGATAAAGGCAAATATTGGGGGTGAAACCTTTACAAGCCAAGGAATGCTAAGGGTCACCAGCCAATAACCATAACTTCAGGATGCAGCATGGAACAGACTCAGCCTTCAAGCTCAGAAGAAAGCAATCCTGCGATATCTGGATCCTGGACTTCTAACTTCCACAACGGCGACATAACAAATTTCTTTTTTTCTAATCTACCCAGTTTGCAGTACTTTGTTACCCTGGCTTTAGCAAACAAATACAGAGATGTCAAAGCACTTTTACCTCTGAAAGAAAAATATGCAGTGATTTAACCAAATATGGTGTTTTCCAAGGTTACATGTCATGAACATAATACATGCTTTTGGAAACCCTTTATTTCTGAATTCATCATAAATTAAAAGTGATGATTGTCGGAAATTAAAAACAAGGGATTAGCTCAGTGCCTCTAAATGTAGGATTATAGAAATGTATGGAATGTCAGCACACTGACTATTAATGGCAAAGCGTAAGGAGAAAGAGCCTCCTACTTTCTGGAAACCCAGGTGCCAATCCTAGTACCGTTCATTCATTCATTCATTCCTTCATTCTTGTTCACTCCACAAATGATTATAGTGTTACCTATTTGCTAGCCACTGAACTTTGCTGCTTATGAGTTTGAATAAAACATTTCATATTTCTGTTGAACTTACAAAGACAGACTCACCTGTCAAAAAAGATGAGGCCAGATTTTCTTCAAGTTTACTTTCCACCCTAAAATTCCATAATTTTATCATCTCAGGTCTTACTTGTGACAGCAGCCACAGCATTGACTTCAGCTTTCAACGTGTTTTCTGTTTAAAATCACCCATTGAGAAATTCAAATTAGTTAGGCTGATTGTGATTTAACTTTTGCTTCTAGGTATGTTCCCTGATTTCCACCTTTGAGGGAGATCAGCTCTTTCCTTAAATTTAGTTTAACTTTGGGTGTTTTAAGTTGTTATAGAAAGCCTAAAGTGTTAACTTTCTCTTGGCTCAGACCCTTAATAATTTTTTAAAACTTTACAAATGTGTATACACATGTAAGGAAAAAACCCAGGGTTACTTATAACTAAAGAAAAGTCACAGTAATGATGGGATATTTATTATTTTATCTATTGGATAAGACTGTTTCATAAAACACAGGCTAGTGAGGTTTGTGAAGTGATGGTAATTATGTATTTTCATCCTCTGGGTAGTATAGTATAGTGCTACTGGGTAGCACTATATTTTTCTTGCCTTTTTTTTAAAGCACTTCAGCATTATCTACATAAATTGTAAATGCATGCACTTTTTTACCAGACATTTCACTTCATGAAATTTCTCCCACAGTTGCATTCTCACAAGGGCGCAGTGATATAAAAGTATAAATGTTCCCTGCAGCATTTTTTGACTACAAACAAATATAGAACAACATAAAAGCCTATCAGGAAGAGTTTTCTTAAATAAAATTTAACATATTTATATAATTAAATGCTATGCATATACTAAAATACTCATATGTATCATTTTTCATATATCACACACATACTATAAATTGGTAAGCAAAACAGGTAGCAGCAACTCCATTCTACATGCAAGCTGCAGCTCTCACCTGAGTGGGAAAAAAATCAACTCCCTTTTGAATGGGAAGAATCCATGGGAGTATCTAATTGTGAATTTAGCAAAAACACTTGAATGAAGGACCTTTACAAAAATCTAAATAAATGGCAAAACATACTATGTTCATAAATGAGAAATTCAATTTGATAAAGTGGTCAGTCCTTACTAAAAATGCAATATGATTGCAGTAAAGAGCCCAGAAGAGCAGAAGCATGAAGTGAGCCTGAAATACATACGAAGGAGAAAAGATTCAGGAATGGGCAAGTCAGCTTTGAAGAAGATCCGGGTAGAGGACTTCTTCTCCCTGCTATTAAGGCAAGCCTTCTTACTAAGTACCTGTTTTTAAAGACTTAGAAAGTCTTACAAAACTGTCTTACATACGACAGTGTGGTATTGGCACCAAGAGAGGCAAAGAGGTCAAAAGAAAGAATAGGAACAGTCAGCAGTAGACACGCTCCCATGTAGGGGAGACACTTGTATGGAGAGGTGCAAGGTATGACTGAGGCAGGTCACTGGAGAACAGGTTCAATCAATGCCGTAACGCATATGGGAGGAAATGAAACTGCTGCTTCAGTTCCCCCCACCTACCTTAAGGCCATAGTGACACTATCTTCTATTTCTTCTAAGGGTTTGCAAGTTTTACTTCTCTTACCCATGCTTTTAATATACATGGTGTGAACTTTATTTCTGCTTTCTGTAATAGAAAAAGTCATGAAGTTTAAAATGACCTCAGAATAGGCCAAGCACGGTGGCTCACGCCTAGAATCCCAGCACTTTGAGAGGCCGAGGAGGGCAGATCACCTGACGTCAAGAGGGTCGAAACTATCCTGGCCAACATGGTGAAACCCTGTCTCTACTAAAAAAATACAAAAATTAGCAGGGCGCGGTGGTGGGCACCTGTATTCCCAGCTACTCGGGAGGCTGAGGCAGGAGAATAGCTTGAGCCCGAGAGGCAGAGGTTGCAGTGAGCCGAGATCGCGCCACCGCACTCCAGCCTGAGCCACAGAGGGAGACTCCATCTCAAAAAAACAAAACAAAACAAAAATGACCTCGGAATAACTTGTTAGATTGGACCCTAACTCACAGCGCAATGCTTGGAATGGAGTTTAAGCAGAGAAAAAAACCTCTGCCTGCCTTAATATGTTTGTCATCCTTAACACTGATTAATCACATGCTATCCTTAATGTGTGTTTTATCCTTAACATGTGTTACTCTAAACATGTGTTAATCACATGGCATCCTTAACATGTATTTGCTAACACTGAAAATACTTTAACAGGAGGCAATATCTTGTGTTCCAAATTGATCAAAATGCTTAAAATGCAAAGACCCACTTACTTAAATTCACACTAAGAGTGAATAATGTTCTAAGGGAAATTATTGTAAGGAAAGAGCTGGCAAGTATCTGAGGACCTCAGAAAAGAGCATCATCACCAATGGAAATGATTAAATGGGGAGAGAAAAACAAATGTTGGGAACTTCCAAAGACAAAATGTATTTTCTCCAACTGTTTATTTTCTAAGGCTAGCCATTGGGCAAATTCCAATTGTTTAGTACGTTTAGACTTTTTAACAGTAACCGAAGGTGCCACCGTTTTCACTGTAAATGACTTGACAGCTTGGGGAAGGACACGCCAGCCCACTCTGCTACAACACAGAACAATTGTAGTTAAGGCTCTGTGTTTGCCCTGTTATCTGTTTTGTGGTCATGGATTGCATTCTTTATGAGACAAGCCATTTTGTAATAGTTGTGATGCTTTAAAATACTTTTATCATTGGTTTCATGGGTGAGAGTGCAGGTGGGTTTGTAATCGTCACTCTTTGTTTGAAAAAATATTAAGCTCCCAGGATAGGCTATATAGTTTGCTGCTGCTAAGTTTTGGATAAGTGTGTGTGTGTATGTGTGTCTGTGTGTGTGTGTGTGTGTGTGTGTGTGTGTCTTTTTTTTTTTTTTTCTTTTTCAAGATAGAGCCTTGCTCTGTCACCCAGGCCAGAGTGCAGTGGCTTGATCTTGGCTCACTGCAACCTCCACCTCCTGGGTTCAAGCAATTCTCCTGCCTCAGCCTCCAGAGTAGCTGGGATTACAGGTGTGTGCCACCACGCCCAGCTAATTTTTATATTTTTAGTAGAGACAGGGTTTCACCATGTTGGCCAGGCTGGTCTCGAACTCCTGACCTCGTGATCCACCTGCCTTGGCCTCCCAAAGTGCTGGGATTACAGGTGTGAGCCACCGCGCCTGGCCAGGGATAAATGTTTTGGGACGAGAACTTCAGGTGGAAATTAAAGACATTATCCCTACCTTTATGGAACTGTTGGTCTAGCAGAGATTACAGAAAAATAAATGAAAAATCACTGTGCAGTCTACCACATTCTGTAACAGATAAACACACAGTATGCTGTGGGAGGGCAGGGGTGAAGATCTTATCACA
Source organism: Homo sapiens (assembly GCF_000001405.40). Classification (NCBI taxonomy): domain Eukaryota; kingdom Metazoa; phylum Chordata; class Mammalia; order Primates; family Hominidae; genus Homo; species Homo sapiens. The sequence goes on from NC_000010.11 coordinate 3,180,118, forward strand.
AAATTGTGGTTCAGGAGAAGACTTCTTGGAGAAGGTCAGATGAGGCTTTCCAAAAATTATGAGTTCCCAACAGTTTAATTTGTGTGTAGGAGTTCCTTATTGCGGCTGTAACAAGTTGCTACAAACCCAGTAGCTTAAAGCAACACAAATCAACTAATTAATTAAGTAGAGACAGACTATAGCTATGTTGCTCAGGCTGGCCTGAAACTCCTGATCACAAGTGCTCCTTCTGCCTCTGCCTCCTAAAGCACTGGGACTATAGGGGTGAGCCACTGTGCCTGGCCTCAGATTTATTAACTTGCTGTTGTGGAGGTCAGATGTTCGATACTGATCTCACTGTGCTAAAATCAGGGTGTGGGCCGGGTTGCATTCCCTTCCGGAAGCTCTGCTGGAGAATCTGCTTCTTGCCTTTTCCCGCCTTTGGAGCATGCTCACACTCCTTGGCTGGGGGCCCTCCCTCCATCTTTGAAGCTGGCAGTGGCTGGCCCAATTTCCCTGATGCCAGTCTCTGGTTCTGGTGCCTCTGCCTTGCTCTCCTCCTCTCTGTTTAAGGACCCCCTGTAGTTACCTCGGGCCCACCCCAATAATCCAGGATAATTTTATTTTAAGGTAATCTGATTAGCAACTTTAATGCCATCTGCAATCTTAATTCCTCCTTCCACCTCTCATAGCATATTCACAAATTCTGGAGATTAGAATATGTACATATTTGGGGGCCATTATTCTGCATACCACAATGTTTACATAAAATCTCCTGGCCAAGTACAGTGGCTCACACCTGTAATCCCAGCACTTTGAAAGGCTGAGACAGGTGTATCACTTGAGATCAGGAATTTTTTTCACCAGCCTGGCCAACATGGCGGAACTCCAACTTTATTAAAAAATAAAAAAAATTAGCCAGGCATGATGATGCATGCCTGTAGTCCCAGCTACTCAGGAGGCTGAGGCAGGAGACTCAATTGACTCTGTCTCCAAAAAAAAATAAATAAATAAATAAAATAAATAAAATCTCCATTCTGTATTGTAAAATAGAAGAACTTTTAAAAATAAAATATTTAGTTGCTTATAAAACAAAATGTTTTACCAACCTGTTAATATTTTAAAATAAAATTATCAGATTTATATTCCTAAAAAGAAGTAGTCTATTGACATAAGCCCCTTTTTTCCTACATTTTTTCTTCAGCTTCTTTTTTCAGTTTCATTAATGGTCAAATCATTATTGTACAGATTAAATGTGAAGGCTTTATTGTAAATTGTTGGTATTTTCAGCAAAGCATTCTACAATATTCTAGCTCATTTGTATGAATGAGAAATTTTGATATGCCTGAAATAGAATGATAGAAAATGCATATTATAATCTAATTTTCAGGCATCACTTTTTGGAGCTTTGAGAGAAATTCCTGTCAGTTATAGAAAGAATGAATGGGTCCGTATCAGGGGATGGAGGAAGGAAAAGGGTGCCCATGAGAACATTTATGCACCATTTTTGTGCGGTATTGTTTGTGGCAGTGAAATAAATGTTCCTTCCTGAAATGTCTTTTCAGCGGAAGCAAGCCAGAGGTAATGTCACATTTGTAAAATAGAAAGCTCAGTGGGAGAAACACTGCTTTTCCACTCCTCAGTTCATCTTTTCTGATTCAGACAATATCATCACCAAAAGTTGGTTTATTGTAACACACCTCCCGACATTCTAATCGTGAAAATTACTGTTCCTTGATAATGAGACCCCCTTCTTGGGGAACAGTGAGGATCTTTTGGGTATGAGACAAACAAACTTGTGCCAAAGGATGGGTCCCGGTGGGTAAGAATCCAGGTTTATTATGTGCCACAGGCTGTCTGAAGTGGGAAGAGGAAGGAGGTCCTATTTTTTTTTTTTTTTTTGAGACACAGAGGGGAAAAGGCCAGTTACACAACAAGGAGAGAGGACTCAGAGGGAACCAACCCTGCTGACACCTTCATCTCAAACTTCTAGCCTCCAAAATTACAAGACAATTTGTTTCTGTTGTTTAAGCTGCCCAGTTTATGGTATTTGTATTCACTTGAGGCCAGAAGTTTAAGACCAGCTTGGATAACTTAGGGAGACTCTGTCTCTACAAAAATTGAAAAAAAAAAAAATAGCCAAGCATGATGGCGCGTGCCTGTAGCGCTAGCTACTTGGGAGGCTGAGGTTGGAGGATCACTTGAGCCCAGGAGTTGGAGGCTGTAGTGAGCTATGATTGCCCATTGTACTCTAGCCTGGGTGACACAGAGACCCTGTCTCTACAAAAAATAAAAATAAATAAAAATAAAAAACAATAAATAAATACATAAATAAAATAATCATCTTTAAAAAAGTATCATACTATGATTTTCTAAGCCCTAAGAGTGTATATCCCACTCCTGGCACCATTTCTAGTGTGTAGAGAGCATTTTGTGTTGTCTTTTTTGTTGACTGTTCTTGCCAGTCCCTGAAAATGTCACCGGGAGCTGGAGTCAGTTCATCGGTTCCCCAACTCTACAAGCTTTGCTTTGCAGAAAAGATAATTACGTTTCTCTCCTCAATCTTAATCTCTTTCTTCTTCTTTTTCTTCATCATTGAAAAGATCACCAGGAGGACTGAAGAGTGGGAAGGAGAACTGTATTGCGATTCCATTTTGCAAATTGGGAAGAGACAGTTTCTGGTGTGCGCTGTGGGTGCCCTCTCTTGGAAGAGGGGAAGAGAAGGTTGGGTTTTCTGCCTCACAGGGTCCGCATCATACAATAGAGTCCTGCATACTCAGCAGGTGTCGGGAGAAAGCTATACATATTAATGAGGGGGTTGAGCACACGTGCAATGGATACCATATATGTAACATACCTCTCATGTTCACGTTGGAGTGGGTTTTAGCATTAAAATGAGGTGGCATGTGGCTCTCTACTTCAAAAGGTGAACTACACAAAGACAGTTTTTGCACAGCCTCTATGAGTTGCTGAAACTGGCTTAAGGTCTGCAGTTGCTTATCAGAAAAAGGTGTTTGTAAGGCCAGCCCTCTGCCCAGTCAGAGTTGTTGTGGTCTGGCTTTTAAATCAGAATTAGGAGGGCTCTCATAACTCCTATTCTTAGGAAGTTTAGCAAGAGTGTGTTTTTCTTGCAGCCTTAGGAATTTAGGAAGTTGTCATGCCAGTCAAGTCCTGAACCCTAGACTTATAGGTAAATTTCATTTCCTTAACCTTAGAGTCCATCTTAGTTAATAAAGGGATACCTATTTTGGTCTCTCAGATGACATTTTCTTTCCCCTCTTCTCCTCCTCCTCCTTGTCCTCCTTCTCCACCTCCTTCTTCCCCCTCCTCCTCTCCCCCCGCTCCTCTATTGCATCCTTCAAGACAGAAAAGAAGCTATCAGATGCTCTGCATCCTCCTGCCTAAAAGCCTTCAATTGGTCTTAATTCCTACAGGATTTCCTCATCTGACTCTACTGCTTTTTGTATGATATGTGTAAAATATGATTTCTACCAGATTGCTTAGGATTATCCTTTGAATCGAAAAGAAGTGGTCGTATTGAACTAGTTTTGTCGTCAGAAAGATTTGGGTTTGGATCTCAGTTTCAGCACTTTTGGGCTATTTGACTTTCAGCACTTTACCTAAATTCTTTAAATTTTAATTTCCTGTAACATAGGAGTAATATTTCTTATCTCATAGAATATATAAAGTATTTAGTGTAGTATCTTTGACATTAATAGAAACTGAAAAAAATGGTACTTTAAAAGCTTTAAAGCTGATATTACCAATTACTACCGTCATAATAATAATAGTTATTCTAACAATCGCCTTACTGCAAACAGATTTCTTAAAGGGTTCTTAAAGATTTCTTTACTATCCCTTATTTGAGCAACGCCACTTTAAAGTACATATGAACACACATTTATTTAGCCTACTTATAATCTGTTGTTTCTTCACAGTATTAATAAACACTAAAAACATTTATTCTCTTAGAAATACTTAAATTTGAAATGAATGGGGATAGTTTCAATTAACCCAAAGGAAGAGATAGCTATAGACTTCTCAGGACCCTTAAATCGCGTTATAGGAAATTACTATCTCGTTTGTAAAATGAAATGGGGGATAATAATCATAGTGCTCATGACACAGGACGTTGCTAACAGTGAAGGCAGTAATGCATTGGAAGTGCTCCTCCCCGTGCCCTACAGGCAGCTTTTGCAACAATAAAGAGAGGAGAGCTGCCCATGGGCTATCGCATTCCTCCTCACTGACAGCATCTTAGTCTCTCTAGGAGGTACCCACTCAACAGATGCAGTTCACTTTTTTTTTTCTTTGAGGCGGAGTCTCGCTCTGTTGCCCAGGCTGGAGTGCAGTGGCAAGATCTCGGCTCACTGCAAGCTCTGCCTCATGGGTTCACGCCATTCTCCTGCCTCAGCCTCCTGAGTAGCTAGGACTACAGGTGCCCGCCACCATGCCCGGCTAATTTTTTGTATTTTTAGTAGAGATGGGGTTTCACCGTGTTAGCCAGGATGGTCTCGATCTCCTGACCTCGTGATCTGCCCGCCTTGGCCTCCCAGAGTGCTGGGATTACAGGTGTGAGCCACCGCACCCGGCCCAGATGCAGTTCACCTTTATCAGCACTTCTGAATTCTTTGCTGCCACTTTAGTTATGATGGTAACATAAACTGCCACTTTAGTTATGATGATACCATAGAAAGTTGTATTTAGAAAAGTATCCTGCTTCAACGAACATTTTTCCACTACATATTTATTCCACTACATATTTAAGAATAAATATATAGTCAGTATAATGATCTCATCATGCTTGTTCTTGTGCGTCTATTTATTAATTTGTATCAGAGAAACTAACTGTTGAATTAATATATATCATTTCGATTTTCTTCTTTTTCAGCATAAATTATACATAAACTATTTAAACACAGATTCTGGTTTTTAGAAGGCATTTTGAATATTCAGGTTCTTAGAGTACTATGAAGAGGAACATTAAACCTGATACTTAGAGAAAACATACATCTCATCCATGAACCTAGTTGTGATATGGACAGAAGGCAGGAAAATACTGGGTGGAAAAGGGTGGTCCCCAGGGAGGGCCACACCGTCAAACCTGGGACCATGGCCCAAGTGAGAACATGCATTCTTGTTTTCCTGCTTGAATGTTGCTTTTTGGCCCGCCCTGCCCCCATCCTGTACCCATAAAATCCCCAGGCCTCACTGGCAGAGCAGCAGAGAAGGAGAGAAGAGAAGAAGCAGCCAGACATTGGAGAAAAGTAGCTTGACTTCAGAGGGCCGGCTTGACGGTGGGACCTTGAAGAGAAGTTCCACTGGGGATGGCCAAACTCCAGGGGAAGACCACCTTCCCACTCCATTCCCTTTCCAGCTCCCCATCCCACTGAAAGCCCCTTCCACTGCTCAATAAAATCCTGCACACTCACCACCCTTCAATTGGTTTTTGTGACCCACTTCTTCCTGGAGCCCACACAACCACCTGTGTGTGGGTGCAAGAGGCTGTCACACTGCCCCTTCACTGAGCTGTTTAAGACTGAAGCCACCCACGGACGCAAAGCTAAAAGAGCACAGTGTAACGCACATCCTCTGAGGCTCTGGGGGTCTTGGGCAACCCCTAGATGCTGCCGTGGGCCCACACAGAGTTCTGCTCCTGCCGGTTGCCCAGAAGCACACATCCTGGCCTCTGTACCTGCTCACCTGTGTGCTCCCCATCCTGCAAGGGGTTGAGAGCTGCAAGCTCAGTAAATGAGCCAGCCCCTTTCTGAGTCCCTTGAAGGGGTCAAGGGAATTAATTATCCCCTTTTTTTTTTTTTTTTGAGACGGAGTCTTGCTCTGTCACCCAGGCTGGAGTGCAGTGGCGTGATCTTGGCTCACTGCAATCTCCGCCTCCCGGGTTCACGCCATTCTCCTGCCTCAGCCTCCCGAGTAGCTGGGACTACAGGCGCCCGCCACCAAGCCCGGCTAATTTTTTGTATTTTTAGTAGAGACGGGGTTTCACCATGTTAGCCAGGATGGTCTCGATCTCCTGACCTTGTGATCCGCCCGCCTCAGCCTCCCAAAGTGCTGGAATTACAGGCGTGAGCCACCGCGCCCGGCCTATCCTGTTTCAGTTGGGCTGTCTTGGCAGTCAGTATAATTGACTTGGACCAACTAATTGGTGATCTAATTAATTGCCTCATCATCTTCTAAATGAATCCCAGCAAAGTCCATTCATTGCATCGGAAAGATTTAGCTTCCAAATCAATGTGTAGGGGATTTGTTGACAAACTCACTTCATTGGAAAACCTGGCTAGGATTCAACTGCTTGTTCAAAATCATTCATATGTGAAATGAAATTGAGTTTTAGAATTTCGATTTATTTTCATTCACAAGACTTGCTCTCTAGTGTCATGAAGTAGAAATGTGTCACCTTCACGGAAGTGAATAACGATCACGCTCCTGCAGATACGGTCATGCTTTTGTTGTGGCGGAGCAGTGTCTCAGATCTCTGCTACTCAACATGCTCTCAGAACAGTTTGTTTCTGATCTACCATGAGGTGAGGTTGAAACCTGGGAGCTGAGAAGAGGTTAAAGTTCTGAAACTAAGAGTTTAGAAGTTCAGAAATTGAGGAAATTTGAGTGTAGAAACTGAATTTAGAAAGTGTAGCAACTTTTACTACATTTTAGCAAAAATGTTATTTATTTACATTTAAGATAAAATGTGGAGTTCTTATTTAATATTTGTTGTATTTTCTTTTCCTAGTAATTAATTTATATTATATTTTAGAAAAGTATCAGTCCACCAGGATTGGAGATTTAAAACAAAACAAAGCTGTTTCTTCCTCACAAATAGTGTGGGAAGTACTGATTTAGAGGAAGGCTTTCAGCACAGTGAGAGACTTTTGTGGGGGTCCCTCAGCCACCTGGAAATGACTCTCATCCAGGAAGTTATTTTCTTTTCTTTTTTTTTTAAATTATACTTTAAGTTCTAGGGTACATGTGCACAACGTGCAGGTTTGTTACATATGTATACATGTGCCATGCTGGTGTGCTGCACCCATTAACTCATCATTTACATTAGGTATATCTCCTAATGCTATCCCTCCCCCTACACCCCACCCCACGACAGGCCCCAGTGTGTGATGTTCCCCACTCTGTGTCCCCACTGTGTTCTCAGTGTTCAATTCCCACCTATGAGTGAGAACATGTGGTGTTTAGTTTTCTGTCCTTGCAATAGTTTGCTCAGAATGATGGTTTCCAGCTTCATCCATGTCCCTACAAAGGACATGAACTCATCCTTTTTTATGGCTGCATAGTATTCCATGGTGTATATGTGCCACATTTTCTTAATCCAGTCTATCACTGATGGACGTTTGGGTTGTTATTTTCTTTCCACTGAAAGACAGGGGCTACAGATCCCCTTTCTATATCACGTGAGCCGAGAGGCACAGCTTGGAGCAGAAAAATGCAAAGACCCAGATGAGGGTGGGTTGAGCAGAGGCAGGGATTTTAGTCTAGAAGGCAACCATAGCCAGTGTTTTACAGCTGCTGACAAAATATAGCAAAGAGATGTGGAAGTTGAGTTGTTAAAGAATCATGTTCAGCAGGTAAATACTGGCCTGGAGTAGGGACAGGAGAGGGAAAGTGCTGATGTTTCTCATTTGCAAATCCCCTTGGTGTAAATACTCCCACTGTGGATGGATCCGGGGACTAGTGTGAGGTCCTGCAAAGCAGAGATGCTAATAACTGGCTTTGGATCCACTGTAAGCCAGCATAGCCCACCTCCGGGTCGTGGTAAATGTTCAGAGAGACTGCAGACAGAGAGACAAATGCAAGGACCTAACTGTGTCCATGCAGAAGAGTGGGGCACAGAGAGAAGGACTTAGGCGAGCCAGAATGAGGGCAAAGGAATGTTGAGAAGACTGGGCAAAGTCTAGGATGTTTCTCCAGCCTTCTCCCAGAATCATCTTGAAGAAACGCTCAGCAGTACCTCCAAGATGTAAAGCTGGAAGATAATTCCAGTAATACATGTTTGTGGTGTTTTGTGCACGAGTGGTCCTGTACAAGTCATCCTGCTACATTGTATATGCTTCTTTCTTGAAGTTATTTTCAGTTAAGTGCTTAAATGATAAAAGGTCAATAAAGAATAATGATTCTTTGCTGAGTTAGGGCATCTCTAAGACTACCTGCAGGTTGAATAATGCACTAGAAGGACCCATAGAACTCAGCAGAAGCATTTATTACAGTGAAAGGGTGCAGAGTAAAATCAGTCAAGTGGAGAGGTTCTGAAGGCAGAGCCCTGGAGAGATCCACAGAGCTGCCACCTCCTCTCCTGGTGGAATCGTGGCTGAGCCTGCTGCTCCCAGAAACAATGTGTGGCAGCTCACATGGAGCACAGGCAGCTGGGATGCTCCGCAAGCCTGCGTCCGGAGGCTTCCCTTGGACCTGGTCACAGAGACATAGTTGACTGCACTGGGCTGACCTGTAGGCCCCAGCTGCCTTAGTCTGTTTGTGCTGCTATCACAAAATACCTCGGACTGTTTATAAAAAACAGAAATGTATTTCTCAAGTTCTTGGGGCTGGGAAGTCCAAGATCAAGGAGCCTGCAGGTTTAGGGGCTGGAGAGGGCCGAGCTCCACTTCCGGTTGGTGCCTTGTGGCTGCGTCCTCCGGAGTGGGGGACGAATGCTGTATCCTCATAGGATGGAAGGTAAAGAAGGGCAAGAGTGTGCTGGCTTCAACCTCCAGCCCTTTCATAAGGCACTGATTCCGTTCACAAGAGTGGGGCCTTCATGACCTAACGAGCTCCCCAAGGCCACACCTTTTAATACTGCTGCACTGGGGAGTAAGTTTCAACATGAGTTTTTGGGGGGACATCAGCATGCAGACCATAGCACCAGTCCTTCATGAAGTCATGCCAATATGCACCATCCAAAGCCCCCACCATGAATCACGCTGTTAGGCTCTGCGTGTGGCCCAAGGCCCTAGCTCGACAAAAACACTCTTATTAGACAAGACATGCCTGCGGCTTAGACGTGACCTCCCAGGAGCTGAGGGCAAAGGCCAGAGTGCTCCTTGGGTAAGGTTAGTTTTTTCTTTTTTCTTTTTCTCCTGACAGGGCCTCTCTCTGTTGCCCTGGCTGGAGTGCAGTGGTGTGATTATACCTCACTGCAGCCTCCATGTCCCAGGCTCAAGTGATTCCCCCCAGAGGAGCTGGGACCACAGGTGTGCACCACAGGTGTGCACCACCATGCCCAGATATTTTTTGTAGAGATGGGGTCTTGCTAAGCTACCCAGGCTGCTCTCAAGCTCCTGGGCTCAATCCTCCCACCTCGGCCTCCATAGAACTCCATAGAACAAAGTGTCAGGATTACAGGCATCAGCTACTGTGCCCAACCAAAGGTTAGTTCTTTACTACACACCATTTAAAGTGCCATTATATAGAAATATTTCTAAACTGCAGAGACACTGATTGAACAAGACAACTACCCTGCCAGGGCTCAGAGTGAAAAGAACAGAAAAGCCCTGCCCTGTATTAAGTGCTGATTGACACGGCTTATTTCTGCATTTAGATCACGTCTGCAGAATGTATTTCTTTACATTAATGCACATGTTAGACAAATCAATCACAGTGCTTGATGTATCCACAGCCCCTTCCCCCAAATCGGCTTCCATTCACATTCCCTGCTGGTATCTCCAGCCTCAGCCACCAACACTATGGGCTGCAGGACACAGCCTGTGGCTCCCACTGATTTAGAAATGGGCCCCTGGAACCACCAGCATTCTGTTCACAGGTGGCCAAGGTCTATGACTGACTTGATGTACTCATCAATAGTTATTAGGCGAGCCAATCAAAAGCCCTCTCTCTAAATAATTTAAATTGGAAATCAAAGAAAGACTCGGCATAGGAAGTGGGAAGAAGTATATCAGAACATAGTGTAGCTAAATTCTGTTAATAGTGGGGTCCTAGGGGCCCCCTTTCAGCACCTCAGAGCTGTCTTAGACGCACTATACCCTTCACTTCCATAAAAACTGACCCTCTTGTGATTTTAAAACATTTTCCTGAGATTCCATTTCCTCATCACCTCACACATATGCTTAGAATGGACCCCTCTGTCTGCTTGTGAGAAAAGTAAAGTAAAATAAAGTAAAAAAGAACAGACCCCTCTGCGCCTGATCTAGCATGAGTGGCTCTGCATTCCCTGCACTCCATGTTGGCAAATTGAACCATCTATCAAAGGTCAGTGCTGTATCAGCAGATGGAACGTGGAGCTTAGATCATCTGCATTTTGAATAAAAAGGGTTGCAGGATTAGCGAAACAAAGGCAATGCATATCATCAATGCTTGCTACTTTATGAAATCTTTGCATGCCTTTTACAAGAAAACGTTTAGTCTCATGCTTTTTAAAAATGTAAATGGCAGGTCTATATTAATAGTGATCACATACTACAGGGCTCCTTAGGTTTGGTATCATATTCTTTTGTTTTTCCTGAATACTATGATAGGCTGTTTTATCTCTTTTCTAAAGAGACGTGTTTGTCCTAGTTCAATAATGAATATTTAAACATATCACATTATTGATAAACATTCATTTATCTAAAAATATAGGCCATCTCACATGGCTTGATTTATAAGTGGAAATATTTTAACGAAAAATTTAAAAATTTATGCACCATAGATTTCACTTAGTTTCCTTAAATATTAAGGCTACACCACAAACAGCATCTGTCTTTTCTGTGATTTCATAGGTAAACTCTTCTCCAGGTTTTTGGCAGGTATTTTGCATGTGTGAATTGGATGTTAACAAAGTAATCCCATATGAAACTATGGTCACAATTCCAATCTTGGCTTGTAGTGGGAAGCCAGCAGCAAGGTGCGCTTCACTGAGTACGGTGCTGGAGTGCTGGGAGTTCAACTCCATGCTGTGCTGCTGCTGGGCTGTGTGGCTCTGGGAAACTCACACAACTTCTCTGGGCTTCAATTTCCCTCTCTGCAGAACAAAGAGCTTCAAGCCGACCTCAACATTCCTTTTCTGTTCTAACATTCTGTTATTCCATGAGTTAGTTATACAGTAATGATGACACAAGGAACAACACCCACTTATAATCAAGCATCACTACCTTTCTTTGAAACTTGTAAGCATTCGTGGAGAATGCGGCCCCCATCCCTCCTCTCTCTCTCGCCCTCTGACCCCCTATTTGCCAATATCTCTCCTGCAGCCATTGAAATCTGGTTTAACATCAGATGCAATAAAACTTCTGCTGAGAAATAGACTTGATGGATAGACTACTGAGTAGATTACAGAGTTTTGATGGTAGGACTTAAAGAAATATATTTGATATATTTATATTTGTATATTTTATATTATTTTGAAATACTGAAAATAATAATTTAGTTCTCCCAAACTACACCCCTCCCTCCTGACCCAAGTTAACTATTTTCTTCCTTTACTTTTTTTTTTTTCTTTGAGATGGAGTCTTGCTCTGTTGCCCAGGATAGAGTGCAGTGCATGATCTCAGCTCACTGCAACCTCCACCTCCTGGGTTCAAGGAATTCTCCTGCCTCAGTTGCCCGAGTAGCTGGCTTTACAGGTGCGCACCACCGTGCCTGGCTAATTTTTGTATTTTCAGCAGAAACGGGGTTTCACCGTGTTGGACAGGCTGGTCTCGAACTCCTGATTTCTGGTGATCTGCCCGCCTCAGCCTCCCAAAATGCTGAGATTACAGGCGTGAGCCAC